>NW_003571059.2:705632-789619 GCF_000001405.40 Homo sapiens | reverse complement strand
ATTATATATCTGTCATTATCCAACTATATGTCTATCATTATTTGTGATATCATTATATATCTATCATTATTTGTCTATCAATCATTATCTATATATCTATCATTATTAGTGTTGATTATTTTTTTTTCTGGAGAACCCTGACTACTATAGCTTCCATGTTCCTGTCTCAACTGTCACCAGTCCCCTTAGCACAGGGCCTATCATAGCCATTCTACGGCCCAAGGAATTACAAGCCACATAACTACAGGAGTCACAGTGACCCAAGGATTTAGACGGAGACACGGAAGAATTGAGGCATCTATTGGTCTCTGCATATTTTGGGATTTGGGATTTCCCAGCAGGGAAATTTGCCTTGAATCTGTCTAACTGGTCACTAAGAGTTGATTGGTAGGTTCCATTCTCCGTGCACAGCATAAACCCTAATAAGCCCAAACTGACTGGCAGTGGAGACTCTCAACCCTCAATGGGACCAAACTGTGACTGGCAGTGGAGACTCTCAACCCTCAATGGGACCAAACTGTGACTGGCAGTGGGGACCTTCAACCCTCAGTGGGACCGAACTGTGACTGGCAGTGGGGACCTTCAACTCTCAGTGGGACTTTACAGCACTCAGCTGCACCTGTGTGGAGAATTTGTCTCAAACACCTAAGAAGGAAGGAGGCCTTTGTTTCGAGGAAGAAGAAGGGGAGCTGCTTCTCTATCCACTGACCTCAGAGGTACCGGAGAGTGTCCAGTGAGGGCCTTAACTCTCTGCAGTATTTTTTTTTTTTTTGAGATGGAGTCTCACCCTGTCGCCCAGGCTGGAGTGCAATGGCAGGATCTCGGCTCACTGCAACCTCTGCCTCCCCAGTTCAAACGATTCTCCTGTCTCAGCCTCCTGAGTATCTCAGATTTACAGGCACCTGCCACCATGCCCAGCTATTTTTTGTATTTTTAGTAGAGACAGAGTTTCACCATGTTGGCCAGGCTGATCTCGAACTCCTGACCTCGTGATCTGCCCACCTCCGCCTCCCAAAGTGCTGGGATTATAGGCGTGAGCCACTGCACCCAGCCACTCTCTGCAGTTTTAAAGGCCATTTCCATGAATTAGAGTATACTTAGGCACTGAGGTAAGCATGGCACAGCTTTCTGAAAATAAAGTTGAAACTTAGAGGTTTCTTTTAGCTTTATTGAGATATGATTGACAAATGGAAATTGTATATATTTAAGGTGTATTACACTTGATGTTTTGATGTATGTATACATGGTGACATGATCATCATAGTCAAGCTAGTTATATCCATCATCTCGCAGGGTTATTGTTTTTTTTTTTTTTTTTTTTGAGAGGAAGTCTTACTCTGTCCCCCAGGCTAGAGTGCAGTGGTGCCATCTTGGCTCACTGCAACCTCCGCTCCCAGGTTCCAGCAATTCTCGTGCCTCAGCCTCCTGAGTAGCTGGGATTACAGGCTTGTGTCACCACGCCTGGCTAATGTTTGCATTTTTAGTAGAGACAGGGTTTCACCATGTTGGCCATGCTGGTCTTGAACTCCTGACCTCAAGTGATCTGCCCGTCTTGGCCTCCCAAAGTGCTGGGATTACAGGCGTGAGCCACCGCGCCCGGCCTATGGTTTCTTTTTCTTTCTTTCTTTTTTTTTTTTTTGTGGTGAGGACCCTTAAGATCTACTCTCCCAGCCGGGCGTGGTGGCTCATGCCTGTAATCCCAGTACTTTGGGAGGCCGAGGCAGGCGGATCACGAGGTCAGGAGATCGAGACCATCCTGGCTAACACAGTGAAACCCCGTCTCTACTAAAAATACAAAAAATTAGCAGGGCGTGGTGGCGGGCGCCTGTAGTCCCAGCTACTCGGGAGGCTGAGGCAGGAGAATGGCGTGAACCCAGGAGGCGGAGCTTGCGGTGAGCCGAGATCGCGCCACTGCACTCCAGCCTGGGTGACAGAGCAAGACTCCAGCTCAAAAAAAAAAAAAAAAAAAAAAATCTACTCTCCCATGCTTGCCTCGGCAGCACATATACTAAAATTGGAACGATACAGAGAAAACTAGCATGGCCCCTGCGCAAGAATGACACGCAAATTCGTGAAGTGTTCCATATTTAAAAAAAAAAATCTACTTTCCTGGTAAATTTCAAGTATAGAGTACAGTATTGTCAACCATAGTGGCAAAGCTGTACAAGAGATCTTCAGACCCATTCCTCCTGAATACCTGATAGTTTGTATCCTTTGATCAACATCTCCCAATTCCCTCCCCCACACTGTCCCTGTAGTTCTAGTGAGTTCCCCAGACTCTGATGTCTCAATTTCATTCAGTCACTTTCCTCCAGATACATCTACCCATTCCTACTGCATCTTAGTATCCTGAGCCTTGGGGGCAGTTTCTGTGCCAAGTGGAAATGTGGAAATGAGATATTACGAAGAAAAATCTTTGCCCACCTAGACAGGGATCTGATGTTTTCCAAGATGACACATGATTACATGTTGAAATGATAATATTTTGAGTCTACTTGTATAATAAAATAATATTTTGGATCTATTAGGTTAATATTTTGGGTCTGTTGGGTTAATAATATTTTGGGTCCATTGGGTTAACTTAAATTAATTTTATCTGTTTCTTGTTAGCTTTTTAATTTGGATACTAGCAAGTTTGAAAGAATGCATGTGGTTTGCATTATGTTTCTATAGGACAGAACTTACCTGTAGATGTAAGGGAGTCACAACAAAATTACAAGCATTGTTTTTGGTGGAAATGAGAAAAATGATTACAAATTTACATGGAAAAGCAAATAGCCAATAATAATAATAATGGCAATCTTAAAGAGGAAGGAGAAATTAGAGGATTCAGGCTGCCAAATTTTAAGGGGTTCTATAAGGCCACATAAAGTGCAGCATCCTCATGAGAGTGGACACAGAGAGCCACTGAGCAGAAAAGAGTGTGTAAAATACATCTGTGTACACACAGTCCTTTTATAGTTGACAGAGGCTGCCATGCGGATTAAGGTGGAATAGAATGTCTTCTCAGTAAATAACATTGGACCAGAGGGTTACAAGCAGGAAAAAATAAATCTAAGCTTATTTTCACACCATAAAAACACTGCTAATTTTTTATCTTATTATCATACATTTTGATGATTTATTTATAAAATTGATGAATGAAAATTATATACAGTAGTCCTTCACTATTCATGGGTGATTGGTTCCAGGAAACCCCCCTCCCTACCAGACACCAAAATCTGCAGATGCTCAAGCCTGTTGCATGAAATGGCACAGCATTTGCATATAACCCATGCACATCCTCCTGTATACATGAAATCATCTCTAGATTACTTATAATTCCTGATACAGCCTACACACCACCTCACTTGTGTCCACACAATATAGTATTTTTGCTTTTTGGAACTTTGTGGATTTTTTCTCTGAATATTTTTGATTTATATTTGGTTCAATAAACACCTGTAAACCCCACAGATATGGAGGAGCGACTGTATATTTATAGTATGAAAGATGATGTGTTGACATGTGTCCCTGTGGAGATGAGACTAACAAGGCCTATGACTCTACAAATGTTTCATCTTGGAATGACTCTGCCAGCTTTCCAGGTCTGCAGAGAGTAAGAATATCACTTGTTCATGTGATTCACGATCCTTGGAACCTCCTATGTGCTGCATCTTTGGATGGAAATTGGAGTCCCAGAGACAAATGAGGCTCCACCCTGCTTCCAGAAGCTCAGAGTCCAGGGCTGAGAACCCAGTAGAGAACATATCAGGTTATATGGACATAGTAATGATAACACTGGAAACTTTTGGCGAATAAAGAGTCACATTATCGAAACCATGAGGGCAGACATGTTTATTTGAAGAGGAGAGAGCTACACTGAAGTTATAAAAAAAATTTATAAATTTTACTGATGACAGAAGGCTGAAAGATAGTCTGAGGGGAGGTGGAACAGCATGAGGGAAGGTGGAACAGCAAGTGTGTAAGTGCCGTGTTAAGAGGGAGCCTCTTGCATGTTTGGAATTGTGAGTTCCTCAGTGTGATTGCAGCCTCAAGTAGGACTAGGAAGTAAGCCAGTTAGGTTGGAGAGGTGGGCAGGGGTCAAGTGAAATAGATACTTGTGGGCTAAGCAAAGGAGTGTGTTTTCTCTGCAGCAGGCAGTGGCGACCTTAGGCATTTGTAAGCAAGAGAGAGGCATGTTCAGATTCGTGGTGTGAGGAAGAGCGATCCCCTAAGATGCAGACTGATGCCTTCAGATTCCAGCTGCTGGTTCATTGGATCTGGCAACCTGGTTTTGAGACAGGGCTGTTGTCTCCCTAGAAAACCCCCTCAAGACCTGACTGTGGTGCTCGTGGGCAGGAGACAACTTTGGATCTGGGCTCAGCATTTGGAAGTTCCGTGTACACGCTGGTATCTGTTAGGGGTGTCTTGGGCCTCTGAGAAGGGCGACTGATTTTTCTCTGTATGAAAACGCAGTGATCCAACTGTGCGTACATCACCTCCTGAGGGTCTTGTTCATCAGAGTCCTGGAGAGAGGGAAATGCTGAGTGAGGGAGGGTGCTCACATTTTTCAGGACTATTAGGGATAAGACTGTATCCGTGAGGCTGGGCCGAGGAGGACCTACCTGCCTATTCACTGTTCTGTCCCCCGCAGGCTCTTGGTCCATTACAGCAGCATCTGTAGGAGACGGAAGTCATCAAAACCGCTTGGAGGGCCCTTCTGGGTCCTCATTTCATGGGCAGACACCAACCCACAGGGGGAGGCTGTAGGTGCCTGAGGCTCTTCAGCTGCCAACATCCAGACTCAGACATTCTATCTCTCTGAGTTCAAGACCCCATCCCATGAAGTGCTCTCAATTGGCATCCCATTGATTCTGTCTCCCACTTTCTGCCTGTCATGGAAGCTTCTGGATGTCAGTGGCTGCAGGGGATGTGAGGATACAGTTCAGAACCAGGCAATGGTCTGTGAGCTGAAGGCAGGGGCAGGTTGTCTGGTGCTCTCTCTAGAAAGCCCTGCCTCTGTGGCTCCTCCCTTGGGCCAGGGACCATCCTGCCAGTGAGGAACACACACCCGCGTGCTCCCATCCTGCTTCCCCACATGGCCCTGAGCTCTCTGGCCTCTGCTTCGTGAGACTTACTCTTTTTGTTGGAGCACCAGCGATAAAGGAGAAAGAAGAGGAGGAGGATGAAGAGGAAGATGACCACTGAGGTCCCAATCAGAACATGCAGGTGTCTGCAGATACCTGGAGGAAGATGGGAATCCAATAAGAAGCTAATCATAGCAGTTCCTCTTTATGGATTGTCTCATTTCTTGATTGACAGGTAACCACATGGAACATCTCCTTAGGACAAGCAGCCTGATGGCGGGAGACCCAGCTTTCTCCTGCTTTCTCAGTTACAGCTCTCATAGAAACCATAGAACATGCTGAGGATACAGCTGCTTTAGTTTAGATGTTTGACCCTTTGAAACCTCACACTGAAATATTGAAATTTAACCCCCAGTGTGGAAGTTTGGGCCTATGGGAAGGTGTTTGAGTCATGGAGGTGGATCCATCATGAATAGATTAATGCTGCCCCACATGATGGGGTTAGCAAGTTCCCCCTCTATTAGTTCCCGGAGGGCTGGTTGTTAAAAAGAGCTTGGAAGCTCCATCGCTCGCCCTCCCCCTTGCTCCCTCTCTTGCCATGTGATCTCTGTGGTCTCTGCACAGACAGACCCTCCTTCCCTTCTGCCAGAGTGGGAGCAGCCTGAGGCCGTCACAGGAAACAGATGCTGGTGCCATGCTTCCAGTACAGCCTGCAGAACTGTGAGGCAAACAAATCTGTTTTCTCTAGAAGTTGCCCAGGCTCTGGGATGCAAGGCTGGTTCAATATATGCAAATCAATAAATGTAATCCATCATATAAACAGAACCAAAGACAAAAACCGGACGATTATCTCAATAGATGCAGAAAAGGCCTTTGACAAAATTCAACAACACTTCATGCTAAAAACTCTCAATAAATTAGGCATTGATGGGACGTATCTCAAAATAATAAGAGCCATCTATAACAAACCCACAGCCAGTATCATACTGAATGGGCAAAAACTGGAAGCATTCCCTTTGAAAACTGGCACAAGACAGGGATGCCCTCTTTCACCACTCCTATTCAACATAGTGTTGGAAGTTCTGGCCAGGGCAATTAGGCAGGAGAAGGAAATAAAGGGTATTGAATTAGGAAAAGAGGAAGTCAAATTGTCCCTGTTTGCAGATGACATGATTGTATATCTAGAAAACCCCATTGTCTCAGCCCAAAATCTCCTTAAGCTGATAAGCAGCTTCTACAAAGTCTCAGGATACAGAATCAATGTACAAAAATCACAAGCATTCTTATACACCAATAACAGACAAACAGAGAGCCAAATCATGAGTGAACTCCCATTCACAATTGCTTCAAAGAGAATAAAATACCTAGGAATCCAACTTACAAGGGATATGAAGGACCTCTTCAAGGAGAACTACAAACCACTGCTCAATGAAATAAAAGAGGATACAAACAAATGGAAGAACATTCCATGCTCATGGGTAGGAAGAATCAAGATCGTGAAAATGGCCATACTGCCCAAGGTAATTTATAGATTCAATGCCATCCCCATCAAGCTACCAATGACTTTCTTCACAGAATTGGAAAAAACTACCTTAAAGTTCATATGGAATCAAAAAAGAGCCTGCATTGCCAAGTCAATCCTAAGCCAAAAGAACAAAGCTGGAGGCATCATGCTGCCTGACTTCAAACTATACTACAAGGCTACAGTAACCAAAACAGCATGGTACTGGTACCAAAACAGAGATATAGATCAATGGAACAGAATAGAGCCCTCAGAAATAATGCCACATATCTACAACTATGTGATCTTTGACACACCTGAGAAAAACAAGCAATGGGGAAAGGATTCCCTATTTAATAAATGGTGCTGGGAAAACTGGCTAGCCATAGGTAGAAAGCTGAAACTGGATCCCTTCCTTACACCTTATACAAAAATTAATTTGAGATGGATTAAAGACTTAAACGTTAGACCTAAAACCATAAAAACCCTAGAAGAAAACCTAGGCATTACCATTCAGGACATAGGCATGGACAAGGACTTCATGTCTAAAACACCAAAAGCAACGGCAACAAAAGCCAAAATTGACAAACGGGATCTAATTAAACTAAAGAGCTTCTGCACAGCAAAAGAAACTACCATCAGAGTGAACAGACAACCTACAAAATGGGAGAAAATTTTCGCAACCTACTCATCTGACAAAGGGCTAATATCCAGAATCTACAATGAACTCAAACAAATTTACAAGAAAAAAACAAACAATCCTATCAAAAAGTGGGCAAAGGACATGAACAGACACTTCTCAAAAGAAGACATTTATGCAGCCAAAAAACACATGAAAAAATGCTCACCATGACTGGCCATCAGAGAAATGCAAATCAAAACCACAATGAGATACCATCTCACACCAGTTAGAATGGCGATCATTAAAAAGTCGGGAAACAACAGGTGCTGGAGAGGATGTGGAGAAATAGGAACACTTTTACACTGTTGGTGGGACTGTAAACTAGTTCAACCATTGTGGAAGTCAGTGTGGCGATTCCTCAGGGATCTAGAGCTTGAAATACCATTTGACCCAGCCATCCCATTACTGGGTATAAACCCAAAGGACTATAAATCATGCTGCTATAAAGACACATGGACACGTATGTTTATTGTGGCACTATTCACAATAGCAAAGACTTGGAACCAACCCAAATGTCCAACAATGATAGACTGGATGAAGAAAATGTGGCACATATACACCATGGAATACTATGCAGCCATAAAAAATGATGAGTTCATGTCCTTTGCAGGGACATGGATGAAATTGGAAATCATCATTCTCAGTAGACTATCACAAGGACAAAAATCCAAACACTGCATGTTCTCACTTATAGGTGGGAATTGAACAATGAGAACACATGGACACAGGAAGGGGAACATCACACTCTGGGGACTGTTGTTGGGTGGGGGGAGGGGGGAGGGATAGCATTAGGAGATATACCTAATGCTAAATGACGAGTTGATGGGTGCAGCACACCAGCATGGCACATGTATACATATGTAACTAACCTGCACATTGTGCACATGTACCCTAAAACTTAAAGTATAATAATAATAAAAATTTAAAAAAAAAGCTCATCAGAAGCACTATACAAAAAAAAAAAAAAAAAAAGAAGTAACCCAGGCTCAAGTGTTCTTTTATAGCAACAAAAATGGACTAAGACAGCAACGTCCTGAGATCAGGAGGAACGTCTCAGAACAGCCTGTGCTGTCTTCCTGTTCTTCCTGGAGGAGGACGTCATGCAGTGCTTTAGCTGAGTGCTTCCTGTGGCTTCAGGGTACAAAACCCAGGCTGGGCTATTTTCTGGCTTCCCCCAGATACACTGCAAATGAGGTGACTCCATATGTCCCGAGAAGCTTTTCTGAGCCTTGAGGGACTGGCTCACATTGAAATGTAGGCTTCTGTTGTCACTCGCTGCTTATCTGTTAGTAATGAACCTGCCTATGTAACGTATTCTCTGTGTGTTCTGTCTCCCTGGAGTGACGGTGAGTGATAGAAATTTGCATAGGCCCAGGTGCAGTACAGCAGGTGTTTAGAGTCTTCTCTGGAAAGACTGAACTGGGATTGATACACAGTGAATGTGCTTTACAGTTTCTACATCCACAACCCTCTTGACTCAAATTACATTCTCCAAGAAAAGGACACAAAAGTGAAATCAAGATCAAAAAAGCAAAGTAGAATTCTCTTATGTCAAACAGCCAGGAAATAATGATGAAGCCCATGTGAAACGTGCTACTCTTTGTGATCTCGCGAGACACATGTTAGGCTGCTGTTCCACCTGAGAGGCTGGGGGAAAGACCACCCCCTCCACCATCTATTGCTTCAAAACCACCTGTCCTCCTGTGAATTAGTAGGAAAGGGGAGCAGGAGCTAGTGCTGGTGCTGATCTCTGATTCCAAGATCTGAACTCACTCCAAGGAGTATTAGCGTTTACCTCCCCATGATCTATCTGTATCTCCACAGGTGATTGGAAGTAGGGGTGAGGTGGGGGATTTGGGTGAGGGGGCAAGTTTCTTGTGATGAACAGAGCACTTTCCCTATTTCAGGGCCTGTGCTGGTGGGTTCAGGGGGCTTTCATATTTTCCATATGATCTCATGTTCACAGAAAGCCAAATATGGAAGAGGTTTTAGGCTGATTTTCTAATGGATAAGATAAAGGATCAAAGAAGTAATTATAGAGAAATAGAAAAATGATGATTGGAATTCAGGTGCCTGCATCATTTGTGTATATTATTATATTTATGTATTTTTTATTTTTATTTTTTGAGCCAGAGTATCCCTGTGTAGCCCAGGCTGGTGTGCAGTGACGCGATCTCCACTCACTGCAACCTCTGCCTCCAGGGCTGAAGTCATTCTCCTGCTTCCTCCTCCAGAGTAGCTGGGATTACAGTCATGCACCACCATCATGCCTGTTTAATTTTTGTATTTTTAGTAGAGATAGGGTTTCTCCATGTTGGCCAGGCTGGTCTCGAACTCCTGACTTCATGTGATCCACCCGCGTTGGCCTCCTGAAGTGCTGGGTTACAGGCGTGAGCCACCGTTCACAGCCTTGTATATTATGCTATACTAGGTCCCTTCATTTGCACCACCCCTCATCTAGCTCTCCCTCCTCTGCCAGGTATTGATTTAGATGCAGGAGAAATAAATCTCAGAAATAAGTTAGTGAAGCGAGGATTAAACTACCAGGAAAAAATCAAACCCAGCAAGCCTTTCCAGCCAATGATTCTACCTCACAAACATATCTTATATCCATCTACTTCATTCATTTAGTGTCTAAATCAGCACCACATTTCACCAGTGGGGCGGGAATTGCCTTTTCCACGGTCTCCTAGATTCCAGTTACGCACCTGGGCCTCCCTTATTTTCATGTCAGTCATATTAATCATGTAGGGATTCCTGGTTACCCCGAGGTGAGTCCAATGGCTGTGAGTGTCAAACACACACTCCTTGTTGCTCCTTAGTTTCCTGTGTACCCAGTGTGCTCTCCGTCTCTCTACAGTCGTCTTGTCATTCTCCCCACGTCATTCCCAGCATTTGAGGCAGAGCCTCTTCCTTCAACATCAGATTATTTTCACCTTTGTGCCTTCACGGCTGACAGCTGTGTGTGCAAAATCCTTCCGCCCATCTTTCAGGGGTTCAATCCGTGTTTTTCATTAATGTCACAAATATCTGATTAGTGAGAACTTCTCTGTCACCTGAAATCATACACTCAGCATTATCTATTATTGATTTGAAAATTTGGCTTGGCCCCGTGGCTCATGCCTCTTATCCCAGCGTGTTGGGAGGCAGAGGCTATTGGATCACCTGAGGTTGGGAATTTGAGACCAGCCTGGCCAACATGGTGAAACATCCTCTCTACAGAAAATATGCAAAAAGAGTTAGCCGGGCGTGGTGGTTGTGGTCTGTAATCCCAGCTACTGGAGAGGCTGAGGGAGGAGATCCGTTCAGCCCAGGAGGTGGAGGTTGCAGTGAGCCGAGATCATGCCACCGCACTCTAGCCTGGACGACAGAGCAAGGCTCCGTCTCAATAAACAAGTAGGTAAATACATAAATAAATAGATTTCATGCACAGATGCTTCTCAATAGATCATTCATTTATTGGTCCCCTTGTGCCTACATTTTCTGCCCTCCCATTTAACCATCTGCAAGATCAGTGTCCCAAGAACAGAGGCCAAATGCATCTTGTTCACTGTTTGTGGAAGGCAGGAGAATGTTGTCCCACCCCAAAAATGTCCATGTCCTAGCCTCCATAGCTTGTGAATATGTTATTTTACATGAAAGGAGGAATGAAGATTGCAGATGGAATTATGGTTGCTAGTCAGCTGAACTTAAAAGGAGGGTATCCTGGATGATTTCCGGGAGATTATGATGGATTTTCATCTTGGTGAACCCAATAGAATCCCCAAGTTTTCAAAAGAAGGGGAAGAAGGGAGAGCAGCATTCAGAGAAAGAGGTGTGGTAAGGAAGAAGGGTCTGAGTGATGCCATGTGAGATGTGACCAGTCTTTGTGGGCTTTGAGGAAGGAGGAAGGGTACCAGGAGCCAAGGAACATGGGAGCCTCTAGAAGCTGAGAAAAGTGAGAAGCAGATTCTTGCCTGGAACCCTCAGAGGGAAGGCAGCCTTGCTGTCACCTTGATTTTAGCCCAGTGACATGCACGTCATGCTTTGAGCTACAGCACTGTAAGATAATTAAATAACCGTTTTGTTTTCACCCACGAATCTTGTGGAAATTTGTTATGGCAACAATAGGAAAAGCTTCCACACTGCACAGCCTGAGCATGGGGCTGTGGCTGAATGAGTCAGTGAGTCGAAGTGTGCGTGCATGAGCTCTGTTCTCTGTTACGGCAAGGCTCTTGCTCTGCTGAGTCAGCCAGGGTTGCCTGATGACCAACAGTAATTCATTCCTTGGCAAGTGGAACTTCTCTAAAACACCCACCCTCATCAGATGTTCCCTTCCCTTCCCTCTCTCAAGCCCCCGGGAATTTATCCTCCAGTTAGGAATGCAGGCAGAAAAAACACTGCATGTTTCCTGAGAAGGATGTCAGATTGGCAATTATTCTTCTAGCTTGTAGGAGGTCTCACCTGCAGGAAATTAAAGGTAAAGAGACTTCGCTGAGCCCTTTGGTGGCCCTAGATCCCTTTCACTGTTGGAGTGTCTGGAGTTCAGAGATGGTGGAAGACAGGCCCTCATTCACAGAGCTGGGAGGTTTGAGCCAACACTTGCATCCAAGGCTTCCACCTCCCCAGGTTTCCAAAAGCAGAGATAAGAGGGGTCCTTTACTCACCAGATTTGGAGCTTGGTTCTGTGGGTGAAGGCCAACTACTTGAAGGGTTTCCTAGAACACGGGACAGGAGAGATGTGAGGAAATGAGGGTGCTTGTCCTCTACTCAATGGAAATCTTTGAGGTTGGTTCATGGCCAACACTCTGTTATCTAATGTTGGACCCTGGGAGTCTTGGGATCCTTTTCTCCATAATTTTTGTGTGCGATGCCCACTGTCTTGAGACTTGAAGGTATAAAGAGAAAACAGGAGCATCACACTACCTGACTTAGAAATATGTTACAGAGCTGTAGTAAGCAAAACAGCATGACATTGGCATAAAGAAAGGCACATAAAAAATGGAACAGAATGGAGAACACAGATATAATCCATGCATTTACATCCAATGGCTTTCTTTTGTGTGTGTGTGATGGAATCTTGCTCTGTCATGCAGGCTGGAGTGTAGAGGTGCAATCTCAGCTCAATGCAACCTCCACTTCCTGGATTCAAGAAATTCTCTTGCTTCAAACTCCTGAGTAGTGGTATTACAGGCACTGATCACCATGCTCAGCTAATTTTTGTATTTTTAGTAGAGACGAGGTTTCACTCTGTTGGCCAGCCTGGTCTTGAACTCCTGGCTTTAGGTGATCCACCCGCCTCGGCCTCCCAAAGTGCTGGAATTGCAGGTGTGAGCCACCATGCCCAGCCCATTTAATGGACTTTGACAAAGGTGCCGAGAACTTACAATCAAGAAAGGACAGTCTTCAATAAATGGTGTGGGGAAAACTGGATATCTACATGCAGAGGAATAAAACTGCATCTATACCTGTCACCTTACACAAAAATCAAATGAAAATGGATTAAAAACATGAGTCTAAGGCCTGAACCTATGAAACATGTAGAAGAAAATAATGGGGAAGACATTTGTCTGACGAAAGACATTTTGTTTAAAACCTTCAAAACACAAGTAATCAAAGCAAAAAATAGACCATTAGGATTACATCAAACCAAGCAACTTCTGCACCACCAAAGATAAACCAACAAAGTGAAGAGACAACCCACAAAATAGGAGCAAATATTTGCAAACTATTCATCTGAGATGGGATTAATAACTGGAAATATAAGAAGCTCAAACAACTCAATAAAACAATTTAATTAAAAAACGAGCAAAAGACATGAGGAGACATTTCTCCACAAACAAAACATAGAAATGGCGATCACGTATATGAAAAAGTGCTCAGCATCACTCATCATCACAGAAATGTAAATTACAATCGCGATGAGTTTTCATCTCATCCCATTAAAATGCCTTTTAGGCCGGTGGCTCACGCCTGTAATTCCAGCACTTTGGGAGGCGGAGGTGGGCGGATCACCTGAGGTCGGGAGACCAGCCTGACCAACATGGAGAAACTCCCTCTCTACTAAACATACAAAAATTAGCTAGGCGTGGTGGCACATGCCTGTAATCCCAGCTACTTTGGAGGCTGAGGCAGGAGAATCAGTTGAACGCGGGAGGCAGAGGTTGCAGTGAGCCGAGATCACACCCTTGCACTCCAGCCTGGGCGACTATGAGTGAAACTCCATCTCAACATAAATAAATAAATAAATAAATAAAGTAAAATGGCTTTTATCTGCAAGACAGGCAAAACAAATGCTGGCAAGATGGTAGAGAAAGGAGAACCCTGGTACCCTGTTGGTAGGAATGTAAATTAGTACAACTATTATGGAGAAAAGTATGGAAAAACTTTAAAAAACTAAAAGGAGGCTGGGCATAGTGGCTTATGCCTGTAACTTCAGCACTTTGGGAAACCGAGGCAGGCACCTCACTTGAGGTCAGGAGTTTGAGAGCAGCCTGCCCAAAATTGGGATATCCCGTCTGTGCTAAAAAATACAAGAATTAGTCAGGCATGGTGGCGTGCACCTGTAATCACAGCTATTAGGGAGGCTGAGTCAGGAGAATCGTTTGAACCTAGGAAGCAGAGGTTGCAATGAGCCAAGATCGCACCACTTTGACTCCAGCTTGGACTAAGGAGGGAAACTCTTTCTCAAAAAAGAAAAAAAAAAAAGAGAACTTTCATAGTGTCCAGCAATTTCACTACTGGGTTTATATCCAAAGGAAAGGACATCAGTGTATCGAAGTGATATCTGCACTCATATGACTGTTCCAGCACTGTTCACAGTAGCCAAGATGTGGAGTCAACCTACCTGCCTATCAGTGGGTGAATGGATAGAGAACTGTAGTACACACACACGGTGGAGACTACTCATCCATAGAAACAATAACATCCTGTCATTTGCAGCCACATGGATGGAACTGGAGGTCATTACAAAGATTCCCATTTCTCACCACATGCAGGAGATAAAAGGTGGATCTCATGAAGGTAGAGAATAGAATGGTGGATACCAGAGGCCAGGAAGGGAAGGGTGGAGGGTAACAAAAAAAAGAATATAGATGTATTTATTTATTTAGAAACAGAGTCTCTCTCTGTCTCCCAGGCTGCAGTGCAGTGGCATGATCTCGGCTCAGTGCAACCTCTGCCTCCTGGCTTTAAGTGCTTCTCCTGCCTCAGCCTCCCAAGTAGCTAGGACTACAGGTGCATGCCGGCATGCTTGGCTAATTTTTCTTGTCTGTTTAGTAAAGATGAATTTCCCGCATGTTGGCCAGGCTGATCTCGAGTCCCTGATCTTAAATGATCCACCTTTCTTGGCCTCTCAAAGCGCCAAGATTACAACCGTGAACCACCACACCCAGCATATAAAGGTATTTATGACCACTAGATTTTACTTTTAAAAATGGTAAAGTTGGTAAATTATATAGTTACATTTAACCTCAATAAATATTTTTGAAAATGAAAAGAAAAGAGTGTAGGGGTTGCTGGTGATGACATCTCTCTGTGTGGGTGAGAGGCCAGGATGGGCTTCTGGGAAATGGGTAAGGTTGAGGGGCTGAGGGAACCTCTGATCTCCCCAAACTGAGCCCAGTCTCCCCTTCTCTGGGTCTGTCCTGACCGCTTTCTCCATCTGCCTGGGTGCCTGGAGCCCTGACCATGGGCCTCCATGCAGGCCATGCAAGAGGGTTTGGAGGTGCCCTGTCTGCCATCCTGCACCCTGACCCCCCCCTCACACCCAGTCTTCGTGTTCTCTCTGCATCTGTCCATGCTTCTCCCCATCATCGGCAGGAAGCTCCTCAGCTATGGCTCTAGGATCATAAGACATGGGACAGACACGGGTTTTCCTCACCTGTGACAGAAACAAGCAGTGGGTCACTTGAGTTTGACCACACGCAGGGCAGGGCACGGAAAGAGCCGAAGCATCTGTAGGTCCCTCCGTGGGTGGCAGGGCCCAGAGGAAAGTCTGCCTGGAATGTTCTGTTGACCTTGGGCACTGCACGGAGCCTACGTTCATGGGCCTCCCCTCCCCTGGACAGATGGTAGATGTCATAGGAGCTCCAGGAGCTACAGGACAAGGTCACGTTCTCTCCTGCCTGAACCGTGGGGCCCGGCTGGGCTGAGAGAGAAGGTTTCTCATATAGACCTGGAAGGAGAAGAGGCAGTTTCCTCAGGGAGGTTCTTCCTTGTCACAGCTCCCCTCATACCTGAGCTGAGAACTCACTCCCCTGCTCTATGACCTAATGCTCTCTCTCTCTCTCACCCTCCACCCCAACTCTCTTCATGTCTATTTCCTCCTTCCGCCTTCTCTGTCTCTCTAGGTCTCTGACCTCACTTCCCCACCCCTGGGTATGCTTTCCCTTTTTGGATTGTTTTATTCTCTCTGACTCTCCTTGGATTGGTTGACTTGATCTTCCTTTTTCTATAATTCTGAGTCTCTCACTTTCTGTCTTGTTCATAACTTTCTGCATATTTCTATCTATTATCTATCTATCTATTTTGTGTCTATCTACAAATTATCTGTCATCTATATCTATGTATCATTTATCTATCAATTGTCTATCTGTCTATCCATCAATCATCTATGTATTATCTGTATCTATGTATCATCTCTCTCTCTCTCTATTACCTCTCTGTCTGCCTGTCAGTCTCTATGTATCATCTATGTATCTATATATTTATATATGTGTCTTCTATCTATCTATCTTCATCATCATCATCATCATCATCTCTATGTATCATCTATCAATCATCATCTATGTATCTATAACCTATCCATTATCTATCATCTACCTATTTATCATCTATCTATATCTATCTATCCATCTATCATCTGTCTCTCTCCATCTCCTTGTCTTTCTCTGCCTCTCAGTCTCTCTAGTTCTATTTGGAATCTCTGCAATCCATCCCCACATCTTTATCTTTCTCTGTCTTTGTGCCCCTCCCTCAGGGTTCTGATTTTGGGGCTTTTCTCTCCTCCCTTCCAGCATTCTCTCCACTCCTCTGCCCTCTTTTCTTTCTTTTTGTGTGTCTGTGAGTCTCTCAATCCCCTTCCTCTGGCTCATTCTCTGTGTGTTTATGCCTTTGCTTTTTGAAGTCCCTGATTTATCTCTGTGTCTCTCAGTGATCCTATTATATGTAGGATTATTTGGAATATGAGCCTCAGAATCTAGTCTGGGGACACCAAGTACACACAGTATTTAGGGGTTGGTGTTCTGGGGCCATGATATCCTGGGATAATTATGGCTCCACTGCATGGAAGGCAGAGGTGTCAGAATAAACATGGCATCTGTAGATGCCACAAGGCCTGAGGCCACAGGGCCCAACTCAGGTCAGAAATATGGGTGTCCTTGGGTTCTCCTCGTAGAAGCACTTTGTGGAGACAAAACAGAAATGAAACTTCTAACCTGTGCCAGGTCTCTGAGCAAAGTCAGCATGGAAGGACACTTCTCTCTGGCACATGTCTGTCTGTCTGAGTGTCTCCTTTACCTCTTTCTCTCTTTTCTACTTCCCCGTATGGCCCCTGTGTCTGTCCTCTGTTATGACACCTGGTCTGTACTTATGTCTCCTGTTTCCCTGTCTCTGTTGGTACAGACCTCACCGAGTCAGTCTCTCTCCATAAGAATCCCACGCTTATCTTCCTCATGACCACCTGGGGGTTCCAAGTCCTGGATCATTCACTCTGTGTCCCAATGACAATGAGAAGAATGTCTGGACACTCTCACCTGTGATCACGATGTCCAGGGGGTCACTGGGAGCTGACAACTGATAGGGGGAGTGAGGAACAGAACCATAACATCTGTAGGTTCCTGCAAGGACAGGCATCAAGGGACCGATGGAGAAGTTGGCCTTGGAGACCCCATCATGGATCTGTCCAACGAGGCGTGAGGGGTCCTCAGAGATCCCCTCTCTGTGCAGAAAGAAGTGCTCAAACATGACATCTGACCAACATTGCAGGATGACTGTCTCTCCTGATTTCAGCAGGGGCCCTGGGTGGGCCAGGAGGGAAGGTTTTCTGTGGTTTCCTAGAAAGAGAAGTTGTGAGTTTAGAAGGCATCTCTCTTTATCATCCCATCCATGGCACCTGGAATGAGTGAGGGTTCCCCTCCCAGAGGTCTGTCTCTCTCCTCCCTCTCTGTGTCTCCGTGTCTTTTCTGTGCCCATATCCCCTGGTGCAGGTCCCTCCATTTGTCTTCCTCCCTCTTCTCTGTCCCTCTGTCTCCAGTAGCCCCTGACTCCCTTCCCACTGTGAAGAGAGCCTCATCTCTTGGGCTGTTGTATCTCTTTCCCACTAGTCTCTTTCCTGCTGTCTATGTGGGGGTGGAAGAGGACAGGCTGCATGTCCAGGCTCTCAGCAGCCTGAATCAATCTCTTTTGAACAAATTGGAGTCTCTGGCAGAGGTATCAACTCATCAGTAAGGCAGACATCAGTGTCCACACACCCTGTTCCTGATGGGGATTGGGAGCCTCTCCTGCCATGTCTGTGCCTTCTCCATGGCCCCAGCTTCCATAGGGTGGTCCCTGGTGCTGGTTCCAGGAGCATCAACCCCTTCCTATGTGGATGGAGCCTGGTGGTGGCATCAGCATCCCACCCTTGCTGATCCCACGGTAGCCAACCTTCTCCTTGTTTGGTTTCTTTAATTAATTGATTAATTAATTTATTTTTGAGACAGTCACTTTTTCACCCAGGCTGGAGTGCAGTGGTGTTGTCTTGGCTCACTGCAACCTCTGCCTCCCCGGTTCAAGTGATTCTCTTGCCTCAGCCTCCCCAGTCGTTGGATTACTCGTGCCCACCACCACACCTGGCTATCCTTGTTTGGTTTCCTAGCTTGTCCTTGACCTGGGTTCCTGTGTCGGTTTCCTGTTGCTGCTGCAGAAAATTATCACAAACATGGCAGCAGGAGAGAACACACTGACCCCTTCCACTTCTGGGGACAGAAATTGGATCCAGTTCTCCCTGTGCTGAAATCAAGGCATCTGCAGGGCTGCGTTCCCTCTGGAGACTCAGCGAATCAGTTCTCTTGACTTCTCCAGCCCTTAGAGGCCACCTGCATTCTGTGACTAGTGGCCTTCCTCCACCTTCAAAGCCCACAGTGGCTGATAGCGTCTCCCTCCCACTACACTGCTCTAATCCCCACTCCCCTCTTCCTCCACCTCTCACGCGGACCCTTGTGATTACACTGAGCCCAGCAGGACAGTCCAGGCTGTCTCCCCATCTCAAGGTCAACTCATCAACAACCTGAGCTCCACCTTCCCCTTCAGTCCCCTGCCCTATAACATAAATAGTCACAGGCTCCAGGGTTTACAATGTAGCCATCATTGGCGACAGTGATTCTTCCCACCACAGCGCCCATTTCCCCTGTATTCAATCCCCCTTGACCCCAAATACAGTTGGGGCCTGGGTGATGGGACCCTGATGGACACCCCCACCAGAAGCTCTGGGATTCAGGAGGTGGGACAGTGAGAAGCCCAGACAGAAAGCCTCTGACCTGTGACCATGATCACCAGGGGGTTGCTGGGTGTCGACCACCCAGTGAGGGAGTGTGGGCGTGAACCCCGACATCTGTAGGTCCCTGCATGTGCTGGGGTCACAGGGCCCATGATGAAGCTCTCCTGGAATATTCTGCCGTGGAAGATGGGAACGTGGCTTCTGTCTTCTTTGTACAGCATGAAATTGTTAAACCCACGACGATAGTGACACTGAAGAGCCACGTGTCCTCCTCGAGGCACCACAGTGCTGGGCCGGGCAGACAGGAAGGGTTTGTCCTGACCACCTGGGGGAGAAGGAGGCACTGCCTTAGAGAGGAGGATGTGGAGCCACCCCTCCCTCCCTGTGCTCAGAAGATTCTCCCATTTCCACTTTCTAAGGCTCCTACCACACCTGGGTGCCCAGGGCTACAGGAAGGACCCACCCCACATAGACATGGCGTCTCCCTACAACAAGTGTCAGCTGAGAACTTTGAGCAAGTGCTGAATAAGTGACTCTTACTAGATTTTAATACTGCAAAATTACTCACATAAAACAACACAAAGTAGACACGGCATGGAGGGCATGTCCTATGTGAATGGAATATCAGCCAATTCATGAACTGAGCCCCCTCAGAGGATTTGGAATGTCAGGGCCATGGCTGTGGTTTCCCCCCTCTTCTGGTAGAAAGACCGCAGCCACACTGCAGTCCCTACCGTCACGGAAACGCTGGAGGGTGTCAGTTATACCTTTGTCCTCAGAGGACCTGCTGTTCCTAGCACTGCTTCCCTCTCTTTCTCTGCTGCTGACACCACTTCCTCCCTGCACACCCCAGCTTGGAGCACCCCAGTCTCACCCCAGTCTTCACAGAGCTTGACTCAGGAAAGGGAAAGAAAGGCCGGGGAGGGCGAGGTCAGAAATGTGGGCCGAGTATCCAAGGGTCCCCTCTTCCTAGTTTATGAGAGACTCCCCGACAGGACTTCCCTCCTGTTTCAGAAAAATCCTCTTATGTGGGGAGATGACACCCTAAGGTTTGGGGAAGGACTCACCCATGAGTGGCCAGGCCCCCTGCAGCAAGAAGAACCCTGGAAAGAAAGATCATGATAGACGATCCAACTGCAGGCAAACCAGGGCACCCTGCTGCCCCCACTGCACTGTGTGTCTTGGCAGCCAGGCCCTTGCTGGGCTGAAGGTAAACTTAGCCTCCCTGCTACCTGCTGCCAAGAACAGGGCTCTCAGCTGTGGAGAGACCCAGGCTCCAGGCCCAGATCAACACTTCCTGGCCCAGATCTCCACTCCAGGCCCATATCTCCACTCCAGGCCCCTATCTCCACTCCAGGCCCATATCTCCACATCAGACCCATATCTCCACTCCAGGCCCATATCTCCACATCAGACCCATATCTCCACTCCAGGCCCAGATCTCCCCTCTAGGCCCATATCTCCACTCCAGGCCCATATCTCCACTCCAGGCCCATATCTCCACATCAGACCCATATCTCCACTCCAGGCCCATATCTCCACTCCAGGCCCAGATCTCCACCTGCAGGCCCATATCTCCACTCCAGGCCCATATCTCCACTCCAGGCCCGTATCTCCACTCCAGGCCCATATCTCCACACCCAGGCCCATATCTCCCCTCCAGGCCCATATCTCCACTCCAGGCCCATATTTACACCTCCAGGCCCATATCTCCACACCCAGGCCCATATCTCCACTCCAGGCCCATATCTCCACTCCAGGCCCATATCTTTACCTCTAGGCCGAGATCTCCATCCCCACTCTCCCTCCCTCTATTCCCTTCCAGGACTCACCAACGCACGCCATGCTGACGACAGTGAGCGACATGGTGCTGCCGGTGCAGACAGGAGGCCGCGCCCCAGCTCAGCTCAGCAGCGCACAGGATGTTATTTGGCGCCCTGCCCATGCAGTTTACATGTTGACCACATCATGGGAGGGTGACGTACGCAGGCTCTTTCTACCTTGCATGAGGCCCAGTGGGTGCTCGCTCAAGAGCGGAACATGGCTTCCTGGAAATTGTTGTGACTACAATTGCCACCTTGCATCCTTCACTATGACCAGACTCAAAAGACGTCTCAGATCCAACCTCTCACACATGAGGTGATTGAATTCTGTGCTTACATTAAAGACTTTTGATGTATTTTTGTTTTTATCTGAGATTCAAACTTTTCTTCATGTGTAATGTGCAAAATATCTAAGAGGTATTATTAACATTATCAGAGTAATTGTGACAAAAAGCCATTCTAATTTTCCTGATGAGTTTCTAGTACTAAACCTGAGGCACGAGAATTGCTTGAACCTGGGAGGCGGAGGCTGCAGTGAGCTGAGCTCAAGCCACTGAACTCCAGCTTGGGTGACAGAGGAAGAGTCTGTCTCAAGAAAGAAAAAAAAAAGCAAACTAAATAACCTATAATAACAAATCAGAGAACTCAGGTTACCAAATTTTAAGGGGTTCTATAAGTTTATATGAAATGCAGCATCCTCATGAGAGGGGATACAGAGAACCACTGGGCAGAAAACTGTGTCTAAAATACATCTGTGGATACACAGTCCCTTCATAGTTGACAAAGGCTGCCATGTAGTTTAAGGTGGAATAGAATATTTTCTCAATAAATAACACAGGACCATAGGGTTACACGTAGGAAAAAATAAATCTAAACTTATCCTCACACTATAAAAACACTTCTTATTTTTTATCTTGTTGTTGTAAACTTTTTATGCTTTATTTTTAAGATTGACAAATAAAAATTATATACTGTGGTCCTTCACTATTCCTGGGTGATTGGTTCCAGGATCCCCATTCAGATACCAAAATCTGCAGATGCTCAAGCCCCTTGCATGAAATGGCATAGCGAAGCTGGGCACCGTGGCTCACGCCTGTAATCCCAGCACTTTGGGAGGCTGAGTTGGGTAGATCACGAGGTCAGGAGTTCAAGACCAGCTGGTCCAACATTCTGAAACCCCATCTCTACTAAAAATACACACACAAAAAAATTTATCTGTGCATGGTGGCACGTGCCTGTAATCCTAGGGGAGGCTACTGGGGAGGCTGAGGGAAGACAATCGCTTGAACCTGGGAGGCGGAGGTTGCAGTGAGCTGAGATCATGCCACTGCACTCCAGCCTGGGTGAGAGAGTGAGACTGTCTCAAAAAAAAAAAATAGCATAGTAATTGCATAGAACCCATGCACATCCTCCTGTATACATGAAATCATCTCTTGATTACTTATAATTCCTGACACAGCCTACACGCCACTCAATTTGTGTCGATTCAACATAGTTTTTTGCTTCTTGAAACTTCGGGGATTTTTTTCTGAAAACATTTTTGATTTATTGTTGGTTCAATAAACACCTGTAAACCCCACAGATATGGAGGACCGACTGTATATTTATATTATGAAAGATGATATGTTGATATGTGTCCCCGTGGAGATGAGGCTAACAAGGCCTATGACTCTACAAATGTTTCATCGTGGAATGACTCTGCCAGCTTTCCAGGTCTGCAGAGAGTAAGAATATCACTTGTTCATGTGATTCACGATCCTTGGAGCCTCCTATGTGCTGTATCTTTGGATGGAAATTGGAGTCTCAGAGACAAATCAGGCTCCATTCTGCTTCCAGAAGCTCAGAGTCCAGGGCTGAGAACCCAATGGAGAACAGATGGGGTTATGTGGACATGGTAATGATAACACCGGAAGCCTTAGGCAAGAAAAGAGTCTCGTTACCGAAACCATGAGGGCAGACATGTTTATTTGAAGGCGGGAAAACTACATTGAAATTATTTAAAAAATTTATAAGTTTTACTGCTGGCAGAAGGCTGAAAGATAGTCTGAAGGGAGGTGGAACAGCACGTGTCTAAGTGCTGTGTTAAGAGGCAGCCTCTTGTATGTTTGGAATTGTGAGTTCCTCAGTGTGATTGCAGCCTCAGGTAGACTAGGAAGTAAGCCAGTTAGGTTGGAGAGGTGGGCAGGGGTCAAGTGAAATGGAGAATTGTGGGCTAAGCAAAGGAGTGTGTTTTCTCTCCAGCAGGCAGTGGGGACCTTAGACATTTGTAAGCAAGAGAGAGGCATGTTCAGATTCGTGGTGTGAGGAAGAGCGATGCCCTAAGATGAAGACTGATGCCTTCAGATTCCAGCTGCTGGTACATGGGAGCTGGCAACCCGGTTTTGAGACAGGGCTGTTGTCTCCCTAGAAGATCCCCTCAAGGCCTGACTGTGGTGCTCGTGGACAGAAGACAACTTTGGATCTGGGCTCAGCATTTGGAAGTTCTATGTACATGCTGGTATCTGTTGGGGGTGTCTTGGGCCTCTCAGAAGGGCGAGTGATTTTTCTCTGTGTGAAAACACAGTGATCCAATTATGCGTATGACACCTCCTGATGGTCTTGTTCATCAGAATCCTGGAGAGAGGGAAATGCTGAGTGAGGGAGGGTGCTCACATTTTTCAGGACTCTTTGGGAATAAGACTAGCCACGAGGCTGGGCCGAGGAGCACCTACCTCGCTGTTCACTGTTCTGTTCCCTGCAGGCTCTTGGTCCATTACAGCAGCATCTGTAGAAGACGGAAGTCAACAAAAGAGCTCGGAGGGCACTTCTGGGTCCTCATTTCATAAGCAGATACCAACAAACAGGGGGAGGCCATAGGTGCCTGAGGTCCCTCAGTTGCCAACAGCAGACTCAGACATTCTATCTCTCTGAGTTCAAGGACCCATCCCATGAATAGCTCTGAGGTCCCATCCCATTGATTCTATCTCCCACTTTCTGCCTGTCATGGAACCTTCTCCTGGATGTGAGTGGCTGCAGGGGACGTGAGGATACAGTTCAGAATCAGGCAATGGTCTGTGAGCTGAAGGCAGGGGAAGGGAATCTGGTGCTCTCTCTAGAAAGTCCTGCCTCTGTGGCTCCTGTCTTGGGCCAGGGACCATCCTGCTGGTGAGGAACACACATCCGCGTGCTCCCATCCTGCTTCCCCACATGGCCCTGAGCTCTCTGGCCTCTGCTTCGTGAGACTTACTTTTTTTGTCGGAGCACCAGCGATGAAGGAGAAAGAAGAGGAGGATGGTGAAAGGGATTTTGACCACTGAGGTCCCAATCAGAACATGTAGGTGTCTGGGGTTACCTGGAAGAAGAGGAGACACCAATAAGAAGCTAATCATAGCAGTTCCTCTTTATGAATTGTCTCGCATTTCTTGATTGGCAGGTAACCACATACAACGTCTCTTTAGGACAAGCACCCAAATGGCGGGAGACCTAGCTTTCCCCTGCTTTCTCAATTATAGCTCTCATAGTAACCATAGAACGTGCTGAGGATACAACTACTTTAGTTGAGATGTTTGACCCTTTCAAACCTCACATTGAAATTTCACCCCCATTGTGGGAGGTTGGGCCTCTTCAGAGGTGTTTGGGTCATGGAGGTGGATCCATCATGAACAGACCAATGCTGTCCCAAGGAGACGGGGTTAGCAAGTTCCCCCTCTGTTAGTTCCTGGAGAGCTGGTTGTTAAAAAGAGCTTGGAAGCTCCATCGCTCCCTCTCCCCCTTACTCTCTCTCTTGCCGTGTGATCTCTGCGGTCTCTGCACAGACAGACCCTCCTTCCCTTCTGCCAGAGTGGGAGCAGCCTGAGGCCATCACGAGAAATAGATTCTGGTGCCATGCTTCCAGTACAGCCTGCAGAACTGTGAGGCAAACCAATCTCTTTTCTTTAGAAGTTACCCAGGCTCAAGTGTTCCTTTAGAGCAACAAAAATGGACTAAGATAGCAACATCCTGAGATCAGGAGGAATGTCTCAGAACAGCCTGGGCTGTCTTCCTGTTCTTCCTGGAGGAGGACGTCATGCAGTGCTTTAGCTGAGTGCTTCCTGTGGCTCCAGGGTACAAAACCCAGGCTGGGCTGCTTTCTGGCTTCCCCCAGTTACACTGCAAATGGGGTGACTCCATATGTCCCGAGCAGCTTTTCTGAGCCTTGAGGGACTGGCTCACATTGAAATGCAGGCTTCTGTTGTCACTCACTGCTTATCTGTTAGTAATGAACCTGCCTATGTAACGTATTCTCTGTGTGTTCTGTCTCCCTGGAGTGACGGTGAGTGATAGGAATTGGCATAGGCCCAGGTGCAGTCCAGGATTTGTTTAGAGTCTTCTCTGGGAAGACTGCACTGGGATTGATACACAGCGAATGTGCTTTAGGATTTCTACATCCACAGCATTCTTGAGTCAAACAAATTGCATTCACCAAGGAAAGGAAACAAAGGTGAAATCACGATTAAAAATAGCGAAGCAAGATTCTCTTATGTCAAACAGCCAGAAAATAGTGTTGAAGCCCGTGTGAAATGTGCTGCTCTTTGTGATCTCGGGAGACACATGTTAGGCTGCTGTTCTACCCGAGAGGCTGGGGGAAGGACCACCCCCTCCACCATCTATTGCTTCAATACCACCTGTCCTCCTGTGAATTAGTAGGAAAGGGGAACAGGAGCTAGTGCTGTCGCTGATCTCTGATTCCAAGATCTGGACTCACTCCAAGGAGTATTAATGTTTCCTCCCCATGGTCTATCTGAATCTCCACAGGTGATTGGAAGTAGGGGTGAGGTGGGGGATTTGGGTGAGTGGGCAAGTTTTTTTTTGCGATGAACAGAGCACTTTCTCTATTCCAGGATCCGTGCTGGAGGATTCAGCGGGCTTTCACATTTTCTATGTGATCTCATGCTCACAGAAAGCCAAATAGGGAAGAGGTTTTAGGCTCATTGCCTAATGGATAAGATAAAGGATCAAAGAAGTAATTATAGAGAAATAGAAAAATGATGATTGGAATTCAGGTGCCTTTGTCATTCGTGTGTGTTTTATTATATTTATGCATTTCTTATTTTTATTTTTTGAGACGGAGTCTCCTTGTGTCACCCAGGCTGGAGTGCAGTGATGCAATCTCCACTCACTGCAACCTCCACCTCCTGGGTTGAAGTCATTCTCCTGCTTCATCCTCCAGAGTAGGAGCTGGGATTACAGGGATGCACCACCATGCTCGGCTAATTTTTGTATTTTTAGTACAGATAGGGTTTCACCATGTTGGCCAGGCTGGTCTGGAACTCCTGACTTCATGGAATCCACCCGCCTTGGCCTCCTGCAGTGCTGGGTTACAAGCGTGAGCCACCGTTCACAGACTTGTATATTACGCTATAATAGGTCTCTTCATTTCCACCACCCCTCATATATCTGTCACTCCTTTGCCAGGTATTGATTTATGTGTAGGATGAATAAATCTCAGAAAGAAATTAATTAAGCGAGGATTAAACAAGTAGGAAAATCAAACCCAGCAAGCCTTTCCAGCCAATGATTCTACCTCACAAGCATAGCTTATATCCATCTGCTTCATCCACTTAGTGTCAAAATCAGCACCACATTTCACCAGTGGGTCGGGAATTGCCTTTTCCACGGTCTCCTAGATTCCAGTTACGCCCCTGGGCCTCCTTTATTTTCATGTCAGTCATATTAATCATGTAGGGATTCCTGGTTACCCCGAGGTGAATCCAATGGCTGTGAGTGTCAAACACACACTCCTTGTTGCTCCTTAGTTTCCTGTGTACCCAGTGTGCTCTCCGTCTCTCCACAGTCGTCTTGTCATTCTCCCCACCTCATTCCCAGCATTTGAGGAAGAGCCTCTTCCTTCCACATCAGATTGTTTTCACCTTTGTGCCTTCACGGCTGACAGCTGTGTGTGCAAAATCCTTCCGCCAATCTTTCAGGGGTTCAATCCGTGTTTTTCATTAATGTCACAAATATCTGAATAGTGAGACCTTCTTTGTCACCTGAAATCATACACTCAGCATTATCTATTATTGATTTTGAATTCTGGCTGGGCACAGTGGCTCACGCCTGTAGTCCCATTACTTTGGCATGCTGAGACGGTCGGATCACTTGAGGTTGGGAGTTTCAGACAAGCTTGGCCAACGTGGTGAAACATCCTCTCTACAAAAAATATACAAAAAGAATTAGCCGGGCACGGTGGCAGTTGCCTGTAATCCCAGCTACTCGAGAGGCGGAGGCAGGAGAATCACTTGAATCCAGGAGAAGCAGGTTGCAGTGAGCCAAGATCGTGACACTGCACTGTAGCCTGGAAGACAGAGGGCAACTCTGTCTCAATAAACAAAAGAACAAACAAAAAATAGATTTCATGCACAGATGCTTCCCAATGGATCATTCATTTATAGATCCACTTGTGCATTCATTTTCTGCCCTCCCATTTAACCATCTGCAATATCAGTGTCCCAAGGGCAGAGGCCAAATGCATCTTGTTCACTGTTTGTGGAAGGCAGGAGAATGCTGTCCCACCCCAAAATGTCCCTGTCCTAGCCTCCATAGCTTGTGAATATGTTATTTTACATGGAAAGGAGGAATGAAGATTGCAGATGGAATTATGGTTACTAATCAGCTGAACTTAAAACAAGGGTATCCTGGATGATTTCCAGGAGATTATGAGGGATTTTCATCTTGGTGAACCCAATAGAATCCCCAAGTTTTCAAAAGATGAGGAAGAAGGGAGAGCAGCATTCAGAGAAAGAAGTGTGGTAAGGAAGAAGGCACTGAGTGATGCCATGTGAGATGTGACCAGTCTTTGTGGGCTTTGAGGAAGGAGGAAGGGGACCAGGAGCCAAGGAACTGGGAGCCTTTAGAAGCTGGGACAAGTGAGAAGCAGATTCGTGCCTGGAATCCTCAGAGGGAAGGCAGCCTTGCTGTCACCTTGATTTTAGCCCAGTAAGATGCACTTCCTACTTTGAGCTACAGCACTGTAAGATAATTAAAAAACCGTTTTGTTTTCACCCACGAATCTTGTGGAAATTTGTTATGGCAACAATAGGAAAAGGTTCCGCACTGCACAGCCTGAGCATGGGGCCGTGGCTGAATGAGTCAGTGAGTCGAAGTGTGTGTGCATGAGCTCTGTTCTCTGTTACGGCAAGGCTCTTGCTCTGCTGAGTCAGCCAGGGTTGCTTCATGACCTACAGGAGCTCATTCCTTGGCAAGTGGAACTTCTCTAAAACACCTCGCCCTCATCAGATGTTCCCTTCCCTTCCCTCTCTCAAGTCTCCAGGAATTTATCCTCCAGTTAGGAATGCAGGCAGAACAAACATTGCATTTTTCCTGAGAAGGATGTCAGATTGGCAATCATTCTTCTAGCTTGTAGGAGGTCTCAGCTCCATAAAATGAGAGATGAAGAGATTTCACTGAGCCCTGTGTTGGGCCCAGATCCCTTTCGCTGTAGGAGTATCTGGAGTTCGGAGATGGTGGAAGACAGGTGTACAATGTCAGAGCTGTGAGATGCTGAGTCAACGCCTGAATCCAAGGTTTCCACCTCCCCAGGTTTCCAAAAGCGGATATAAGAGGGTTCTGTACTCACCGGTTTCGGAGCTTGGTTCAGTGGGTGAAGGCCAACTATTTGAAGGGTTTCCTAGAACATGAGACAGGAGAGAGGTGAGGAAATGAGGGTTTCTGTCCTCCACTCAGTGGAAATCTTTGAGGATGGTTCATGGCCAACACTCTGTTATCTAATATTGGGCCCTGGGAGTCCTGGGATCCTTTTTTCCATAATTTTTTTATGTGACACCCACTGTCTTGAGACTTCAAGGTATAAAGAGAAAACAGGAGCATCACACTACCTGATCTCAAAATATGTTACAGAGCTGTAGTAAGCAAAATAGCATGACACTGGCATAAAGAAAGGCACATAGAACAACGGAGCAGAATGAATAACACAGATATATTCCATGCATTTACATCCAATGGTTTTTTATTTTTTCTTTTGAGATGGAGTCTTGCTCTGTCACTCAGGCTGGAGTGCAAAGGTGCAATCTCGGTTCACTGCAACCTCAGCCTCCTGGGTTCAATCATTCTCTTGCCTCAAACTCCTGAGTAGTGGTATTACAGGTGCTGACCACCATGCTCAGCTAATTTTTATATTTTTAGTGGAGATGATGTTTCATCACGTCGGCCAGACTAATCTTGAACTCCTGGCCTCAGGTGATCCACCCACCTCGGGCTCCCAAAGTGCTGAAATTGCAGGTGTTAGCCACCAAGCCCAGCCCATCCAATGGACTTTGACAAAGATGCCAAGAACTCACAATCAGGAAAGGACAGTCTTTTCAATAAACAGTGCAGGGAAACCTGGACATCTACATGCAGAGGAATGAAACTGCACCTCTACCTGTCACCATACACAAAAATCAAATGAAAATGGATTAAAGATGTGAGTCTAAGGCCTGAACCTATGAAACACGTAGAACAAAATATTGGGGAAATGCTCCAGGACATTTGTCTGAAGAAAGACATTTTGTTTTAAACCTTGAAAACACAAGTAATCGAAGCAAAAATAGACCATTGGGATTACCTCATACTAAGCAACTTCTGCACCGCTAAAAATAAACCAACAAAGTGAAGAGACAACCCACAGATTGGGAGCAAATATGTGCAAACTATGCATCTGAGATGGGATTAATAACTAGAAATATAAGAAGCTCAAACAACTCAATAAAACAAATGATTTAATTGAAAAAGGAGCAAAAGACATGAAATTTCCCCACATACGAAAAACTGCTCAGTATCACTCATCATCAGAGAAACGCAAATTAAATTCAAAGTGAGTTTTCATCTCACCCCATTAAAATGGCTTTTAGGCCGGGTGAGGTGGCTCACGTTTGTCATCCTAGAACTTTGAGAGCCTGAGGTGGGTGAATCTCATAAGGTCGGGAGTTTGAGACCAGTATGACCCACATAGAGAAACACTGTCTCTACTAAAAATACAAAAATTAGTCGGGCGTGGTGGCGTGTGCCTGTAATTCCAGCTACTCGGGAGGCTGAGGCAGGAGAATCGCTTGAACCTGGGAGGTGGAGGTTGTGGTGAGCCGAGATCGCGCCACTGCACTCCAGCCTGGGTGAGAAGAGCAAAACTCCATCTCAAAATAAAATGAAATAAAATAAAATGGCTTTTAGCTGCAAGACAGGCAAAAGAAATGCTGGCAAGGTGGTAGAGAAAGGAGAACCCTGGTACCCTGTTGGGAGGAGTGTAAATTAGTACAGCCATTACGGAGAAAAGTATGGAAGTCCTTTAAAGAACTAAAAAGAGGTTGGGTGCGGTGGATCATGCCTGTAATCCCGGCACTTTGGGAGACTGAGGCGGGCACCTCAGTTGAGGTCATGAGTTTGAGAGCAGCCCAGCCAACATGGGGAAACCCCATCTATACTAAAAAAACCAAAAAGTAGCCAGGCATGGTGGTGTGCACCTGTAATCCCAGCTACTAGGGAGGCTGAGGCAGGAAAATCATTTGAACCCAGGAGGCGTAGGTTGCAATGAGCCAAGGTCGCACCACTTTGACTCCAGCTTGGGCTAAGGAGGGAAACTCTTTCTCAAAAAAGAAAAAAAGAAAAAAAGAGAACTTTCATAGTATCCAGCAATTTCACTACTGGGTTTATATCCAAAGGAAAGTAAATCAATATATCGAAGTGATATCTGCACTCGTATGATTGGTGCAGCACTGTTCACAGTAGCCAAGATGAGGAGTCAACCTACCTGCCCATCAGTGGGTAAATGGATAGAGAGAATGTAGTACATACGCATAGTGGAGACTACTCATCCATAGAAAGAATAACATCCTGTCATTTGCAGCCACATGGATGGAACTGGAGGTCATTACAAAGATTCCCATTTCTCACCCATATACAGGAGCTAAAAGGTGGATCTCATGAAGGTAGAGAGTAGAATGGTGGCTACTGGAGGACAGGAAGAAAAGGGTGGAGGGTAAAAAAAATGTATATATATATATATGTATATAAATGTATTTATGACCACTAGACTTTACACTTAAAAATGGTAAATGTGGCTGGGCGCGGTGGCCCATGCCTGTAATCCCAGCACTTTGGGAGGCAGATGCGGGTGGATCACTTGGTCAGGAGTTCGAGACCAGCTCGACCAACATGGTGAAACCACCTCCCTACTAAAAATACAAAAAGTAGCCTGGCGTGGTGGTGCGTGCCTGTAGCACCAGCTACTCAGGTGGCTGAGGCAGGAGAATCGCTTGAACCCAGGAGGTGGAGGTTGCAGTGAGCTGAGATTGTGCCACTGCACTCCAGCATAGGGGACACAGCTAGACTCCACCTCAAAAAAAAATGTTAAAAGTGGTAAGCTATATAGGTATATTTATCCTCAATAAATATTTCTTCAAAGAAAAGTAAAGGGTGTAGGGGTTGCTGGTGATGACATCTCTGTGTGGGTGAGAGGCCAGGATGGGCTTCTGGGAAATGGGTAAGGTTGAGGGGCTGAGGGAACCTCTGATCTCCCCAAACTGAGCCCAGTCTCCCTCCTCTGGGTCTCTCCTGACCGCTTTCTCCATCTGCCTGGGTGCCTGGAGCCCTGGCCGTGGGCCTCCATGCAGGCCATGTAGGAGGGTTTGGAGGTGCCCTGTCGGCCATCCTGTGCCCTGATCCCTCCCTCACACCGAGGCTGCGTCTTCTCTCTGCATCTGTCCATGCTTCTCTCCATCATCAGCAGGAAGCTCCTCAGCTAAGGCTCTAGGATCATAGGACATGGGACAGCCATGGGCTTTCCTCACCTGTGACAGAAACAAGCAGTGGGTCACTTGACTTTGACCACTCGTATGGAGAGTCACGGAAAGAGCCGAAGCATCTGTAGGTCCCTCCATGGGTGGCAGGGCCCAGAGGAAAGTTGGCCTGGAATGTTCCGTTGACCTTGGTCCCTGCAGGGAGCCTACGTTCATGGGCCTCCCCTTCCCTGGATAGATGGTACATGTCATAGGAGCTCCGGGAGCTGCAGGACAAGGTCACATTCTCTCCTGCCAGAACCGTGGGGCCCGGCTGGGCTGAGAGAGAAGGTTTCTCATATAGACCTGGAAGGAGAAGAGGCAGTTTCCTCAGGGAGGATCTTCCTTGTCACAGCTCCCTTCACCTGAGCTGAGAACTCACTCCCCTGCTCTATGACCTAATGCTCTCTCTCTCTCTCTCTCACCCTCTACCCCATCGCTCTTCATGTCTATTTCCTCCTTCCACCTTCTCTGTCTCTTTAGGTCTCTGACCTCACTTCCCCACCTCTAGATATGTTTTCTCTTTTTGGATTGTTTTATTCTCTCTGACTCTCCTTGGATTGGTTGACTTGATGTTACTTTTTTTAATTCTGAGTTTCTCACTTTGTGTCCTGTTCATAACTTTCTGCATATTTCTATCTATTATCTATCGATCTATCTATTTATCTATTCGGTGCCTATCTACAAATTCTCTACCTGTCATCTATATCTATATATCATCTATTTATCCATCAATTGTCTATCTATCCATCAATCATCTATTATCTATATCTATGTATCATCTCTCTCTCTCTATGATTTCTCTATGTCTGCCTCTGTATCTCTATGTATTATCTATCTATCTGTCTTCATCATCATCATCTCTATGTCTCATCTATTAATGAATCAATCAATCATCATCTATGTATCTATAACCTATTATCTATCATCTACCTATTTATCATCTATCTATATCTATCCATCTATCATCTGTCTTGCTCTGCCTCTCGGTCTCTCTAGTTCTCTTTGGAATCTCTGCAATTCATCCCCACATCTCCATCTTTCAATGTCCTTGTGCCTCTCCCTCAGGAGTCTAATTTTAGTGCTTTTCTCTGCTCCCTTCCATCATTCTCACTTCTCTGCCCTCTTTTCTCTTTATGTGTCTGTGAGTCTCTCAATCTCCTTCCTCTGGCTCATTCTCTGTGTGTTTATGTCTTTGCTTTTTGGTGTCCCTGATTTCTCTCTGTGCCTCTCACTGATCCTCTCATAAGTGGGCTTATTTGGAATATGAGCCTCAGAATCCAGTCTGGAGACTACAAGTTCACACAGCATACAGGGGTTGGTGTTGTGGGGCCATGATATCCTGGGACGATTACTCTCCATTACATGGAAGGCAGAGGTGTCAGAATAAACATGGCATCTGTAGGTGCCACAAGGCCTGAGGCCACAGGGCCCAACTCAGGTCAGAAATATGGGTGTCCTTGGGTTCTCCTGGTAGAGAACACTTTGTGGAGGTAAAACAGAAATGAAACTTCTAACCTGTGCCAGGTCTCTGAGCAAAGTCAGCATGGAGGGACACCTCTCTCTGGGACATGTCTGTCTGTGTGTTTCCTTTAACTCTTTCTGTCTTTTCAAACTCCCGGTATGGCCCCTGTGTCTGTTCTCTGTTATGACACCTGGTCTCTACTTGTGTCTCCTGTTTCTCTGTCTCTGTTGGCACAGACCTCACCAAGTCAGTCTCTCTCCATAAGAATACCAAGCTCATCTTCCTTACAGCCACCTGGGCCTCCAAGTCCTGGATCATTCACTCTGCATCCCAATGACAATGAGAAGAAAGTCTGGACACTCTCACCTATGATCACGATGTCCAGAGGGTCACTGGGAGCTGACAACTGATAGGGGGAGTGAGTAACAGAACCGTAGCATCTGTAGGTCCCTGCCAGGTCTTGCTTCATGCGACTGATGGAGAAGTTGGCCTTGGAGACCCCATCATGGTGTTCTCCAATGAGGCGCAAAGTGTCGTTAAACATCCCCTCTCTGTGCAGAAGGAAGTGTTCAAACATGACATCTGACCAACATTGCAGGATGACTGTCTCTTCTGATTTCACCAGGCGACCTGGGTGGGCCAGGAGGGAAGGTTTTCTGTGGACTCCTAGGAAGAGAGGTTGTGAGTTTAGAAGGTGTCTCTCTTTATCATCCCATCCATGGCACCTGGATTGAGTCAGGCTTCCCCTTCCTGGTGTCTTATCTCTCTCCTTCCTCTCTGTGTCTTCATGTTCTTTTCTGTGCCCATAACTCCTGGTGCAGGTCCTTCCATCTGTCTCCCTCACTCTTCTCTGTCCCTCTGTCTCTAGTAGCCTCTGATTCCCTTGCCGCTGGGCTCAGCCTCATCTCTTGGGCTGTTGTATCTATTTCGAACTAATGTCTTTCCTGCTGTCTGTGTGGGGGTGGAAGAGGAACCAGGATAGGCTGCACATCCAGGCTCTTAGCAGCCTGGTTCAATCTCTTTTGGACGAATTGGAATCCTTGGCAGGAGGTATGAACTGATCAGTAAGGCAGGCACCAGTGGCCACACACCCTGTTCCTGGTAGGGACTGGGAGACACTCTTGCCATGCCAGTGCCAGCTTCCATAGCCTGGCTCCTGGTGCTGGTTGGAGGAGTATCAACCGCTCCCTATGTGGATGGAGCCTGGTGGTGGCATCATCATCCGAGCCTTGCTGATCTCAGTGTAGCCAACCTTCTCCTTGTTTGGTTTCTTTAATTAATTAATTAATTTTGGCGACAGAGTCTCACTCCTTTGCCCAGGCTGGAGTGAAGTGGTGTGGTCTAGGCTTACTGCAACCTCTGTCTCCTGGGTTCAAGTGATTCTCCTGCCCTCAGCCTCCCAAGTCGCTAGGATTACATGCACCTGCCACCATGCCTGGCTATCCTTGTGTTGTTTCTTAACTTGTCCTTGACCTGGGTTCCAGTGTTGGTTTCCTGTTGCTGCTGTAGAAAATTATCAGAAGCATGGCAGCAGGAGAGAGCACACTAACCCCTTCCAATTCTGGAGACAGAAATCGGACCCTGTTTGTCGTGGGTAAAATCAAGGTACCTGCAGGGCTTCGTTCCCTCTGGAGACTCAGGAGAATCAGTTCCTTGACTTTTCCAGCCTCTATAGGCCACCTGCATTCATGGCTCCTGGACTTCCTCCACCTTCAAAGCTGATGGAGACTCCCATTATGCTGCTGTAATCCCCACTCCCCTCTTCCTCCTCCTTTCCTGTGGACCCCTGTGACTACACTGAGCCCATCAGGACAGTCCAGGCTGTCTCCCCATCTCAAGGTCAACTCATCAACAACCTGAGCTCCATCTTCTCCTTCAGTCCCTTCCCCTATATCATAAATAGTCACAGACTCCAGGGATTAGAATGTAGTCATCACTGGGGACAATTATTCTTCCCACCACAGCACCCATTTCCCTGTATTCAATCCCCCTTTACCCCAAATACAGTCAGGACTTGCATGATGGGACCCGCAAGGACACGCCCACCAGGAGCTCTGGGATTCAGGAGGTGGGACAAGGAGAATCCCAGACAGGAGCCCTCTGACCTGTGACCGTGATCTCCAGGGGGTTGCTGGGTGCCGACCACCCACTGGGGTAGTGTGGTTGTGAACCCCGACATGTATAGGTCCCTGCGTGTGCTGGGGTCACAGGGCCCATGAAAAGGCTGTTCCAGAATATTATGTTGTAGAGCTCAGGGACAGGCACCCCATCTTCCTTTTACAGACTGAAGTTGTTAAACCCAAGATAAGAATGACACTGAAGAATCACATGTCCTGGAGGCACCACAGGGCTTGGCCAGGCAGACAGCAAGGGCTTGTCCTGACCACCGTGGGGAGAAGGAGGCACCGCCTTAGAGAGGAGGATGTGGAGCCGCCCCTCCCTCCCTGTGCTCTGAAGATTCTCCTCGCTTTCCAAGTTTCTATGGCTGCTATCACACCTTGGTGCCCAGGGCTAAAGGAAGGACCCATCCCGCAAACACAAGGTGTCTCCCTACAACAAAAGTGTCAGCTGAGAACTTTGAGCAAGTGCTGAGTAAGAGACTCCTACTAGATTTTAATACTGTAAGATTACTCACATAAAACAACACAGGGTAGACATGGGGTGGAGGGCATGTCCTTTGAGAATGGAATATCAGCCGATGCCTGAACGAAAATAAACAACTGAGTCCCCATCAGAGGATTGGAATGTCAGGGCCATGGCTGTGGTTTTCCCACCTCTTCTGGTAGAATGACAGCAGCCACACTGCAGCCCCTACCGTCATGGAAACGCTGAAGTGTGTGAGTAACACCTTTGTCCTCAGAGGATCTGCTGTTCCTACCACTTCCCCACCACACACCCCAGCTTTGAGCACCGTAGTCTAACCCTGGTCCCCACAGAACTTGACTCTGCCAAGGGAATGAAAGGCCAGGGAGGCAAGGTCAGAAATGTGGGCCCAGCACCCCAGGGTCCCTTCTTCCTAGTTTATGAGAGACTCCCTGACAGGACTTCCCTCCCATTTCAGGAAAATCCTCTTATGTGGGGAGATGACACCCGAAGGTTGGGAGAAGGACTCACCCTCATGTGGCCAGGCCCCCTGCAGCAAGAAGAACCCTGGAAAGAAAGATCATGATGGATGACCCATCTGCAGGCAAACCAGGGCACCCTTGCTGCCCCCACTGGGCTGTGAGTCTTGGTAGCCAGGCCCTTCCTGGGCTGAAGGTAAACTCACCCTCAGTGCCTACCTGCACCCAAGAACAGGGCTGTCGGCTGTGCAGAGACCCAGCCTCCAGGTCCATATCCCCACCTCAAGCCCATATCTCCACTCCAGGCCCATATCTCCACTCCAGGCCGATATTTCCACCCTAAGCCCATATCGCCAATCCAGGCCCATATCTCCAATCCAGGCTCAGATCTCCACCCTGGGCCCATATCTCCAATCCAGGCCCTTATCTCCACTCCAGGTCCATATCTCCTCTCCAGTCCCATATCTCCACTCCAGGCCCATATATCCTCTCCAGTCCCATATCTCCACACCCAGGCCCGTATCTCCATCCTAGGCACATATCTCCTCTCCAGGCCCAGATATCGACCTCTAGGCCCATATCTCCACTCCTGGCCCATATCTCCACTCCAGGCCCAGATATCGACCTCTAGGCCCATATCTCCACTCCTGGCCCATATCTCCACTCCAGGCCCATGTCTCCACTTCAGGCCCATATCTCTACTGCAGGCCCATAACTCCACCTCCAGGCCCATGACTCCACTCCAGGCCCATATCTCCACCTCCAGGCCCATATCTCCCCTCCAGGTTCCTATCTCCCCTCCAGGTTCCTATCTCCACTCCAGGCCCAGATCTCCACTACAGTCCCATCACTCCACCTCCAGGCCTATATCTCGACCTCTGGGCCCAGATCTCCACTTCTAGGCCCATCACTCCATCTCTAGGCCCATATATCCACTCCAGGCCCAGATCTCCACTCCAGGCCCATAACTCCACCTCCAGGCCTATATCTCCACCTCTGGGCCCAGATCTCCATCCCCTCACTCCCTCCCTCTATTGCTTTCCAGGACTCACCAACACACGCCATGCTGACGACCAAGAGCGACATGGTGCTGCCGGAGCAGACAGGCAGCCGCGACCGAGCTCAGCTCAGCAGCGCACAGGATGTTATTTGGCGCCCTGCCCATGCAGTTTACATGTTGACCACATCATGGGAGGGTGACGTACGCAGGCTCTTTCTACCTTGCATGAGGCCCAGTGGGTGCTCGCTCAAGAGCGGAACACGGCTTCCTGGAAATTGTTCTCGCTAGAATTTGACACCTAGTGTCCTTCACTATGACCAACTCAAAACACGTCTGAGATCCAACCTCCCGAACACGAGATGCCTAAAATCTGTGCTAACATGAAAGACTTTTCATGTATTTCTATTGTTTTTATCTGAGATTCAAACTCTTCTTCCTGTGTAATATGCAAAATATCTAATAGGTATTATTAATGTTTTCAGAGTCATTGTCACTAATAAACCATTAGAATTTTTCATGCTTGTATTTCTAGTATTACAGCAGAACCAGTTAAAATGATTTAAATTCCCAGGGAAGGATTATGCAATTATTTACAATCTTAGAATTGTACTTTATCAGTAAAAACCCCACCTGTAAATTCTGGAGTTTTGTAGTTTAATCTAAAATTTGTCTCATGACCCAAGATTCCAGAGTCCCAACTCTGGAGTTTGTTTTCCGTCTGTCTCTCTCCCTCCCTCATTTTAAATTTTACAGAAATATCCAGTAACATAATGCTATAGAAAATCAAGTTTCCCCAGCACGTTGGGAAGCCGAGGTGGGCGGATCAACTGAGATAAGGAGTTTGAGAGCAGCCTGGCCAATATAGTGAAACCGTGTCTCTGCTAAAAATCCAAAAATTAGCCGTGCCTGGTGGCAGGCACCTGTAACGCCAGCTACTCAAGAGGCTGAGGCATGAGAATCGCTTGAACCTGGGAGGCAGAAGTTGCAGTGAGCTGAGATTGTGTCACTGCAGTCCAGCCTGGGCGACAGAGCAAGACTCCGCCTCAAGAAAAAAAAGCAAATAGCCTATAATAACAAATTAGAGAGCTCTGGCTACTAAATTTAAAGGGTTCTATAAGGCTACATAAAGTGCAGCATCATCAAGAGTGTGGACACAGAGAGCCCCTTAGCAGAAACAGTGTCTAAAGTACATCCGTGTACACACAGTCCCTTTAGAGTTGACAAAGGCTGCCGTGTGGTTTAAGGTGGCATAGAATGTCTTCTCAATAAATAATATTAAACCAATGGGTTATACCTAGGAAAAAATAAATCTAACTCACACTATAAAAACACTTCTTAGTTTTTATCTAGTTGTACATTTTTTATGATTTATATTTAAATTTGAGAAATAAAAGTCATATACGGTCATCCTTCACTATTCGTGGGTGATTGGTTTCGAGATCTCCACTCAGATACCAAAATCTGTAGATGCTCAAGCCTCTTATATGAAATGGCACAGAGTTTGCAAATAACCTATGCACATCCTCCTGTATACATGAAATCATCTCTAGATTACTTATAATTCCTGATGCAGCCTACACACAGCTTCATTTGTGTCCATTCAACACAGTTCTGCTTTTTGTAACTCTGTGGATACTTTCTCTGAATATTTTTGATTTATACTCGGTTCAATAAAGAACTGTAAACCCCACAGATATGGAGGAGTGACTGTATATTTATAGTGTGAAAGATGATGTGTTGATATGTGTCCCTGTGTAGATGAGACTAACAAGGCCTATGATTCTACAAATGTTTCATCTTGGAATGACTCTGCCAGATTTCCAGGTCTGCAGAGAGTAAGAATATCACTTGTTCATGTGATTCACGATCCTTGGAACCTCCTATGTGCTACATCTTTGGATGGAAATAGGAGTCCCAGAGACAAATGAGGCTCCACCCTGCTTCCAGAAACTCAGAGTCCGGGGGTGAGAACCCAGTGGAGAACAGATGGGGTTATGTGGACATGGTAATGATAATGGAAGTCTTAGGCAAGAAAAGAGTCCCATTACCGAAACCATGAGGGCAGACATGTTTATTTGAAGGAGGGAAAACTACATTGAAATTATTTTAAAAAATATATAAGTTTTACTGCTGACAGAAGGCTGAAAGATACTCTGAGGGGAGGTGGAACAGCATGAGGGAAGGTGGAACAGGACGTGTCTAAGTGCCGTGTTAAGAGGGAGCCTCTTGTATGTTTGGAACTGTGAGTTCCTCAGTGTGATTGCAGCCTCAAGTAGACTAGGAAGTAAGCCAGTAAGGTTGGAGAGGTGGGCAGGGGTCAAGTGAAATGGAGAATTGTGGGCTAAGCAAAGGAGTGTGTTTTCTCTCCAGCAGGCAGTGGGGACCTTAGACATTTGTAAGCAAGAGAGAGGCACATTCAGATTTGTGGTGTGAGGAAGAGCGATGCCCTAAGATGCAGACTCACGCCTTCAGATTCCAGCTGCTGGTACATGGGAGCTGGCAACCCGGTTTTGAGACAGGGCTGTTGTCTCCCTAGAAGATCCCCTCAAGGCCTGACTGTGGTGCTCATGGGCAGGAGACAACTTTGGATCTGGACTCAGCATTTGGAAGTTCCGTGTACACTCTGGTATCTGTTGGGGGTGTCTTGGGCCTCTGAGAAGGGCGAGTGATTTTTCTCTGTGTGAAAACGCAGTGATCCAACTGTACGTATGTCACCTCCTGAGGGTCTTGTTCATCAGAGTCCTGGAGAGAGGGAAATCCTGAGTGAGGGAGGGTGCTCACGTTTTCCAGGACTGTTTGGGAATAACACTAGCCACGAGGCTGGGCCGAGGAGCACCTACCTCGCTATTCGCTGTTCTGTTCCCTGCAGGCTCTTGGTCCATTACAGCAGCATGTGTAGGAGACGGAAGTCAACAAAAGAGCTCGGAGGGCACTTCTGGGTCCTCATTTCATAAGCAGATACCAACAAACAGGGGGAGGCCATAGGTGCCTGAGGTCCCTCAGTTGCCAACAGCAGACTCAGACATTCTATCTCTCTGAGCTCAAGGACCCATCCCATGAATAGCTCTGAGTTCCCATCCCATTGATTCTGTCTCCCACTTTCTGCCTGTCATGGAACCTTCTCCTGGATGTGAGTGGCTGCAGGGGACATGAGGATACAGTTCAGAATCAGGCAACGGTCTGTGAGCTGAAAGCAGGGACAGGGAGTCTGGTGCCCTCTCTAGAAAGTCCTGCCTCTGTGGCTGCTGCCTTGGGCCAGGGACCATCCTACCTGTGAGGAACACACACCTGAGTGCTCCCATCCTGCTTCCCCACATGGCCCTGAGCTCTCTGGCCTCTCCTTCGTGAGACTTACTTTTCTTGTTGGAGCACCAGCGATGAAGGAGAAAGAAGAGGAGGAGGATGAAGAGGATGATGACCACTGAGGTCCCAATCAGAACGTGCAGGTGTCTTGGGTTACCTGGAAGAAGATGAGACACCAATAAGAAGCTAATCATAGCAGTTCCTCTTTATGAATTGTCTCGCATTTCTTGATTGACAGGTAACCACGTAAAACACCTCTTTAGGACAAGCACCCAGATGGCGGGAGACCCAGCTTTCTCCTGCTTTCTCAGTTATAGCTCTCAAAGTAACCATAGAATGTGCTGAGGACACAACTACTTTAGTTGAGATGTTTGACCCCTTCAAACCTCACATTGAAATTTCACCCCCATTGTGGGAGGTTGGGCCTCTTGAGAGGTGTTTGGGTCATGGAGGTGGATCCATCATGAACAGATCAATGCTGTCCCAAGGAGACGGGGTTAGCTAGTTCCCCCTCTATTAGTTCCTGGAGAGCTGGTTGTTCAAAAGAACTTGGAAGCTCCATCGCTCCCCCTCCCCCTTGCTCCCTCTCTTGCCGTGTGATCTCTGTGGTCTCTGCACAGACAGACCCTCCTTCCCTTCTGCCAGAGTGGGAGCAGCCTGAGGCCATCACGAGAAATAGATGCTGGTGCCATGCTTCCAGTACAGCCTGCAGAACGGTGAGGCAAACCAATCTCTTTTCTTTAGAAGTTGCCCAGGCTCAAGTGTTCCTTTAGAGCAACAAAAATGGACTAAGACAGCAACGTCCTGAGATCAGGAGGAACGTCCCAGAGCAGCCTGGGCTGTCTTCCTGTTCTTCCTGGAGGAGGACGTCATGCAGTGCTTTAGCTGAGTGCTTCCTGTGGCTCCAGGGTACAAAACCCAGGCTGGGCTGCTTTCTGGCTTCCCCCAGCTACACTGCAAATGGGGTGACTCCATATGTCCCGAGCAGCTTTTCTGAGCCTTGAGGGACTGGCTCACATTGAAATGTAGGCTTCTGTTTTCACTCGCTGCTTATCTGTTAGTAATGAACCTGCCTATGTAACGTATTCTCTGTGTGTTCTGTCTCCCTGGAGTGACGGTGAGTGATAGGAATTGGCGTAGGCCCAGGTGCAGTCTAGGAGGTGTTTAGGGTCTTTTCTGGGAAGACTGCACTGGGATTGACACACAGCGAATGTGCTTTAGGATTTCTACATCCACAGCATTCTTGAGTCAAACAACTTGCGTTCTCCAAGGAAAGGAAACAAAAGTGAAATCAAGATAAAAAAGCGAAATAGAGTTATCTTATGTCCAACAGCCAGGAAATCGTGTTGAAGCCCCTGTGAAACGTCCTACTCTTTGTGATCTCGGGAGACACATGTTAGGCTGCTGTTCTACCTGAGAGGCTGGGGGAAGGACCACCCCCTCCACCATCTATTGCTTCAATACCACCTGTCCTCCTGTGAATTAGTAGGAAAGGGGAGCAGGAGCTAGTGCTGGTGCTGATCTCTCATTCCAAGATCTGGACTCACTCCAAGGAGTATTAATGTTTACCTCCCCATGGTCTATCTGAATCTCCACAGGTGATTGGAAGTAGGGGTGAAGTGGGGGATTTGAGTGAGAGGGCAAGTTTTTTTTGTGATGAACAGAGCACTTTCTCTATTCCACGATCTGTGCTGGAGGATTCAGCAGGCTTTCACATTTTCTATATGGTCTCATGCTCACAGAAAGCCAAATACGGAAGAGGTTTTAGGCTCATTGCCTAATGGATAAGACAAAGGATCAAAGAAGTAATTATAGAGAAATACAAAAATGATGATTGGAATTCAGGTGCCTTTGTCATTCGTGTGTGTTTTATTATATTTATGCATTTCTTATTTTTATTTTTTGAGACGGAGTCTCCTTGTGTCACCCAGGCTGGAGTGCAGTGATGCAATCTCCACTCACTGCAACCTCCACCTCCTGGGTTGAAGTCGTTCTCCTGCTTCATCCTCAAGAGTAGGAGCTGGGATTACAGGGATGCACCACCATGCTCGGCTAATTTTTGTATTTTTCATAGAGACAGGGTTTCACCATTTTGGCCAGGCTGGTCTGGAACTCCTGACTTCAAGTGATCCACCCGCCTTGGCCTCCTGCAGTGCTGGGAATTGCCTTTTCCACGGCCTGAGCATGGGGCCGTGGCTGAATGAGTCAGTGAGTCGAAGTGTGCGTGCATGAGCTCCGTTCTCTGTTAAGGCAAAGCTCTTGCTCTGCTGAGTCAGCCAGGGTTGCTTCATGACCAACAGTAATTCATTCCTGGGCAAGTGGAACTTCTCTAAAACACCTCGCCCTCATCAAATGTTCCCTACCCTTCCCTCTCTCAAGCCCCCAGGAATTTATCCTCCAGTTAGGAATGCAGGCAGAACAAACATTGCATTTTTCCTGAGAAGGATGTCAGATTGCCAATCATTTTTCTAGCTTGTAGGAGATCTCAGCTCCATAAAATGAGAGATTAAGAGATTTCACAGAGCCCTGTTTTGGGTCCAGATCCCTTTCGCTGTTGGAGTATCTGGAGTTTGGAGATGGTAGAAGACAGGCGTACAATGTCAGAGCTGTGAGATGCTGAGTCAACGCCTGAATCCAAGGTTTCCACCTCCCCAGGTTTCCAAAAGCGGATATAAGAGGGTTCTGTACTCACCGGTTTTGGAGCTTGGTTCAGTGGGTGAAGGCCAACTATTTGAAGGGTTTCCTAGAACATGAGACAGGAGAGAGGTGAGGAAATGAGGGTGTCTGTCCTCTACTCAGTGGAAATCTTTGAGGTTGGTTCATGGCCAACACTCTGTTATCTAATATTGGGCCCTGGGAGTCCTGGGATCCTTTTTTCCGTAATTTTTGTATGTGACGGCTACTGTCTTGAGACTTCAAGGTATAAAGAGAAAACAGGAGCATCACACTACCTGATCTCAAAATATGTTACAGAGCTGTAGTAAGCAAGACAGCATGACGTTGGCATGAAGAAAGGCACATAGAACAACGGAGCAGAATGAATAACACAGATATAATCCATGCATTTACCTCCAATGTATTTTTTGTTTTTCTTTTGAGATGGAGTCTTGCTCTGTCACCCAGGCTGGAGTGCAGAGGTGCAATCTCGGTTCACTGCCACCACAGCCTCCTGGGTTCAATCACTTCTCTTGCCTCAAACTCCTGAGTAGTGGTATTACAGGTGCTGACCACCATGCTCAGCTAATTTTTATATTTTTAGTGGAGACGATGTTTCATCACGTTGGCCAGACTAATCTTGAACTCTTGGCCTCAGGTGATCCACCCACCTCGGGCTCCCAAAGTGCTGAAATTGCAGGTGTCAGCCACCATGCCCAGCCCATCCAATGGACTTTGACAAAGGTGCCAAGAACTCACAATCAGGAAAGGACAGTCTTTTCAATAAACAGTGCAGGGAAACCTGGACATCGACATGCAGAGGAATGAAACTGCACCTCTGCCTGTCACTATACACAAAAATCAAATGAAAATGGATTAAAGATGTGAGTCTAAGGCCTGAACCTATGAAACACGTAGAAGAAAATATTGGGGAAATGCTCCAGGACGTTTGTCTGAAGGAAGACATTTTGTTTTAAACCTTCAAAACACAAGTAATCGAAGCAAAAATAGACCATTGGGATTACCTCAAACTAAGCAACTTCTGCACCGCTAAAAATAAACCAACAAAGTGAAGAGACAACCCACAGATTGGGAGCAAATATGTGCAAACTATGCATCTGAGATGGGATTAATAACTAGAAATATAAGAAGCTCAAACAACTCAATAAAACAAATGATTTAATTGAAACAGGAGCAAAAGACATGAAATTTCCCCACATACGAAAAAGTGCTCAGTATCACTCATCATCAGAGAAACACAAATTAAAATCAAAGTGAGTTTTCATCTCACCCCATTAAAATGGCTTTTAGGCCGGGCGTGGTGGCTCACGTCTGTCATCCTAGAACTTTGAGAGCCTGAGGTGGGTGAATCTCATAAGGTCGGGAGTTTGAGACCAGTCTGACCCACATGGAGAAACACTGTCTCTACTAAAAATACAAAAATTAGTCGGGCGTGGTGGCGTGTGCCTGTAATTCCAGCTACTCGGGAGGCTGAGGCAGGAGAATCGCTTGAACCTGGGAGGTGGAGGTTGTGGTGAGCCGAGATCGCACCACTGCACTCAGCCTGGGTGACAAGAGCGAAACTCCATCTCAAAATAAAATGAAATAAAATAAAATGGCTTTTAGCTGCAAGACAGGCAAAAGAAATGCTGGCAAGGTGTTAGAGAAAGGAGAATCCTGGTATCCTGTTGGTAGGAGTGTAAATTAGTACAGCCATTACGGAGAAAAGTGTGGAAGTCCTTTAAAGAACTAAAAAGAGGTTGGGTGAGGTGGATCATGCCTGTAATCCCGGCACTTTGGGAGACCGAGGCGGGCACCTCAGTTGAGGTCATGAGTTTGAGAGCAGCCCAGCCAACATGGGGAAACCGCATCTATACTAAAAAAAACAAAAAGTAGCCAGGCATGGTGGCGTGCGCCTATAATCCCTGATACTAGGGAGGCTGAGGCAGGAAAATCATTTGAACCCAGGAGGCAGAGGTTGCAATGAGCCAAGATGACATCACTTGTACTCCAGCCTGGGCACAGAGGGAAACTGTCTCAAAAACAAAAACAAAACAACAAACGAAAAACTAAAAAGAGAACTTTCATAGTATCCAGCAATTTCACTACTGGGTTTATATCCAAAGGAAAGTAAATCAATATATCGAAGTGATATCTGCACTCGTATGATTGGTGCAGCACTCTTCACAGTAGCCAAGATGAGGAGTCAACCTACCTGCCCATCAGTGGGTGAATGGATAGAGAGAATGTGGTACATTTGCATAGTGGAGACTACTCTTCCATAGAAAGAAAAACATCCTGATATTTGCAGCCACATGGATGGAACTGGAGGTCATTACAAAGATTCCCATTTCTTACCCATATACAGGAGCTAAAAGGTGGATCTCATGAAGGTAGAGAGTAGAATGGTGGCTACCAGAGGCCAGGAAGAAAAGGGTGGAGGGTAAAAAAAAATATGTGTATATATATATATATTAATGTATTTATGACCACTAGACTTTACACTTAAAAATGGTAAATGTGGCTGGGCGTGGTGGCTCATGCCTGTAATCCCAGCACTTTGGGAGGCTGATGCGGGTGGATCACGTGGTCAGGAGTTCGAGACCAGCTTGACCAACATGGTGAAACCCCCTCTCTACTAAAAATACAAAAAGTAGCCTGGCATGGTGGTGCGCGCCTGTAGCACCAGCTACTCAGGTGGCTGAGGCAAGAGAATCGCTTGAACCCAGGAGGCGGAAGTTGCAGTGAGCTGAGATTGTGCCAATGCACTCCAGCATAGGGGACAGAGCTAGACTCCGCCTCAAAAAAAAAATGTTAAAGGTGGTAAGCTATATAGGTATATTTATCCTCAATAAATATTTCTCAAACAAAAGTAAAGGGTGTAGGGGTTGCAGGTGATGACATCCCTGTGTGGGTGGGAGGCCAGGATGGGCTTCTGGGAAATGGGTAATGTTGAGGGGCTGAGGGAACCTCTGATCTTCCCAAACTGAGCCCAGTCTCCCTCCTCTGGGTCTCTCCTGACCGCTTTCTCCATCTGCCTGGGTGCCTGGAGTCCTGGCCGCAGGCCTTCATGCAGGCCATGTAGGAGGGTTTGGAGGTGCCCTGTCTGCCATCCTGTGCCCTGATCCCTCCCTCACACCCAAGCTTCGTCTTCTCTCTGCATCTGTTCATCCTTCTCTCCATCCTCAGCAGGAAGCTCCTCAGCTAAGGCTCTAGGATCATAGGACATGGGACAGCCATGGGCTTTCCTCACCTGTGACAGAAACAAGCAGTGGGTCACTCGAGTTTGACCACTCGTAGGGAGAGTCACGGAAAGAGCCGAAGCATCTGTAGGTTCCTCCGTGGGTGGCAGGGCCCAGAGGAAAGTCAGCCTGGAATGTTCCGTTGACCTTGGGCCCTGCAGAGAACCTACGTTCATGGGCCTCCCCCTCCCTGGATAGATGGTACATGTCATAGGAGCTCCGGGAGCTGCAGGACAAGGTCACGCTCTCTCCTGCCAGAACCGTGGGGCCCGGCTGGGCTGAGAGAGAAGGTTTCTCATATAGACCTGGAAGGAGAAGAGGCATTTTCCTTACGGAGGATCTTCCTTGTCACAGCTCCCTTCACCTGAGCTGAGAACTCACTCCCCTGCTCTATGACCTAATGCTCTCTCTCTCTCTCTCTCTCACCCTCCACCCCATCTCTCTTCATGTCTATTTCCTCCTTCCACCTTCTCTGTCTCTCTAGGTCTCTGACCTCGCTTCCACACCTCTAGATATGTTTTCCCTTTTTGGATTGTTTTATTCTCTCTGACTCTCCTTGGATTGGTTGACTTGATGTTACTTTTTTAAATTCTAAGTTTCTCACTTTGTGTCCTGTTCATAACTTTCTGCATATTTCTATCTATTATCTATCGATCTATCTATTTATCTATTCGGTGCCTATCTACAAATTCTCTACCTGTCATCTATATCTATATATCATCTATGTATCTATCACTTGTCTATCTATCCATCAATCATCTGTTATCTATATCTATGTATCATCTCTCTCTCTATGACTTCTGTCTGCCTCTCTATCTCTATGTATTATCTATCTGTCTTCATCATCATCATCTCTATGTCTCATCTATTAATGAATCAATCAATCATCATCTATGTATCTTTAACCTATTATCTATCATCTACCTATTTATCATCTATCTATATCTATCCATCTATCATCTGTCTTGCTCTGCCTCTCGGTCTCTCTAGTTCTCTTTGGAATCTCTGCAATTCATCCCCACATCTCCATCTTTCTATGTCCTTGTGCCTCTCCCTCAGGAGTCTAATTTTAGTGCTTTTCTCTGCTCCCTTCCATCATTCTCACCACTCCTCTGCCCTCTTTTCTCTCTCTTTATGTGTCTGTGAGTCTCTCAATCTCCTTCCTCTGGCTCATTCTCTGTGTGTTTATGTCTTTGCTTTTTGGTGTCCCTGATTTCTCTCTGTGCCTCTCAGTGATCCTTTCATATGTGGGGTTATTTGGAATGTGAGCCTCAGAATCCAGTCTGGAGACCACAAGTTCACACAGCATACAGGAGTTGGTGTTCTGGGGCCATGATATCCTGGGACGGTTACTCTCCATTACATGGAAGGCAGAGGTGTCAGAATAAACACGGCATCTGTAGGTGCCACAAGGCCTGAGGCCACAGGGCCCAACTCAGGTCAGAAATATGGGTGTCCTTGGGTTCTCCTGGTAGAGAACACTTTGTGGAGGTAAAACAGAAATGAAACTTCTAACCTGTGCCAGGTCTCTGAGCAAAGTCAGCATGGAGGGACACCTCTCTCTGGGACATGTCTGTCTGTCTGTCTCCTTTAACTCCTTCTGTCTTTTCTAACTCCCGGTATGGCCCCTGTGTCTGTCCTCTGTTATGACACCTGGTCTGTACTTGTGTCTCCTGTTTCTCTGTCTCTGTTGGTACAGACCTCACCAAGTCAGTCTCTCTCCATAAGAATACCAAGCTCATCTTCCTTACAACTACCTGGGGGTTCCAAGTCGTGGATCATTCACTCTGCATCCCAATGACAATGAGAAGAATGTCCGGACACTCTCACCTGTGATGACGATGTCCAGAGGGTCACTGGGAGCTGACAACTGATGGGGGAGTGAGTAACAGAACCGTAGCATCTGTAGGTCCCTGCCAGGTCTTCCATCATGGGACCGATGGAGAAGTTGGCCTTGGAAACCCCATCATGGTGCTCTCCAGTGAGGTGCAAAGTGTCGTTAAACTTCCCTTCTCTGTGCAGAAGGAAGTGCTGAAACCTGACATCTGACCAACATTGCAGGATGACTGTCTCTTCTGATTTCACCAGGGGACCTGGGTGGGCCAGGAGGGAAGGTTTTCTGTGGACTCCTAGGAAGAGAGGTTGTGAGTTTAGAAGGTGTCTCTCTTTATCATCCCATCCATGGCACCTAGAATGAGTGAGGCTTCCCCTTGCTGGTGTCTGTCTCTCTCCTTCCTCTCTGTGTCTTCATGTTCTTTTCTGTGCCCATAACTCCTGGTGCAGGTCCTTCCATCTGTCTCCCTCCCTCTTCTCTGTCCCTCTGTCTCTAGTCGCCTCTGATTCCCTTCCCACTGGGCTTAGCCTCATCTCTTGGGGTGTTGTATCTATTTCACACTAATGTCTTTCCTGCTGTTTATGTGGGGGTGAAAGAGGAACCAGGATAGGCTGCACATCCAGCCTCTTATCAGCCTGGTTCAATCTCTTTTGGATGAATTGGAATCCTTGGCAGTAGGTATGAACTGATGAATAAGGCAGGCACCAGTGTCCACACACCCTGTTCCTGGTCGGGACTGGGAGCCACTCTTGCCATGCCTGTGCCTTCTCCATGGTGCCAGCTTCCATAGGCTGGCTCCTGGTGCTGGTTTGAGGAGTATCAACCCCTCCCTATGTGGATGGAGCCTGGTGGTGGCATCATCATCCCACACTTGCTCATCTCGGTGTAGCCAACCTTCCCCTTGTTTGGTTCCTTTAATTAATTAATTAATTATGGAGACAGAGTCTCACTCCTTCACCCCAGCTGGAGTGAAGTGGTGTGGTCTAGGGTCACTGCAACCTCTGTCTCCTGGGTTCAAGTGATTCTCCTGCCCTCAGCCTCCCAAGTCGCTAGGATTACATGCGCCTGCCACCACACCCGGCTATCCTTGTGTTGTTTCTTACCTTGTCCTTGACCTGGGTTCCAGTGTTGGTTTCCTGTTGCTGCTGTAGAAAATTATCAGAAGCATGGCAGCAGGAGAGAGCACACTGACCCATTTCACTACTGGAGACAGAAATAGGACCCTGTTTTTCCTGGGCTAAAATCAAGGCATCTGCAGGGCTTCGTTCCCTCTGGAGACTCTGGAGAATCATTTCCTTGACTTTTCCAACCTCTACAGGCCACCTGCATTCATGGCTCCTGGCCTTCCTCCACCTTCAAAGCTGGTGGAGTCTCCCATTGCGCTGCTCTAATCCCCACTCCCCTCTTCCTCCTCCTTTCATGTGGACCCTTGTGATTACACTGAGCCCAGCGGGACAGTCCAGGCTGTCTCCCCATCTCAAGGTCAACTCATCAACAACCTGAGCTCCATCTTCCCCTTCAGTTCCTTCCCCTATAACATAAATAGTCACAGACTCCAGGGATTAGAATGTAGTCATCACTGGGGACAATTATTCTTCCCACCACAGCACCCATTTCCCTGTATTCAATCCCCCTTTACCCCAAATATAGTCAGGGCCTGGGTGATGGGACCCTCAAGGACACGCCCACCAGAAGCTCTGGGATTCAGGAGGTGGGAAAGGAGAATCCAAGACAGGAGCCCTCTGACCTGTGGCCATGATCACCAGGGTGTTGCTGGGTGCCGACCACCCACTGGGGTAGTGTGGGTGTGAACCCCGACATCTGTACGTCCCTGTGTGTGCTGGGGTCACAGGGCCCATGAAAAGGCTCTTCCAGAATATTCTGTTGTAGAGCTCAGTGCCAGGCACCCCATCTTCCTTTTACAGACTGAAGTTGTTAAACCCAAGATAAGAATGACACCGAAGAATCACATGTCCTGGAGGCACCACAGAGCTGGGCCAGGCAGACAGCAAGGGCTTGTCCTGACCACCTTGGGGAGAAGGAGGCACCGCCTTAGAGAGGAGGATGTGGAGCCACCCCTCCCTCCCTGTGCTCTGAAGATTCTCCTCGCTTTCCAAGTTTCTATGGCTGCTATCACACCTTGGTGCCCAGGGCTAAAGGAAGGACCCATCCCGCAAACACAAGGTGTCTCCCTACAACAAAAGTGTCAGCTGAGAACTTTGAGCAAGTGCTGAGTAAGAGACTCCTACTAGATTTTAATACTGTAAGATTACTCACATAAAACAACACAGGGTAGACATGGGGTGGAGGGCATGTCTTTGAGAATGGAATATCAGCAGATGCCTGAATGAAAATAAGCAACTGAGCCCCCATCAGAGGATTTGGAATGTCAGGGCCATGGCTGTGGTTTCCCACCTCTTCTGGTGGAGTGACAGCAGCCACACTGCAGCCCCTACCGTCATGGAAACGCTGAAGTGTGAGTAACACCTTTGTCCTCAGAGGATCTGCTGTTCCTACCACTTCCCCACCACGCACCCCAGCTTTGAGCACCCCAGTCTAACCCTGGTCCCCACAGAACTTGACTCTGCCAAGGGAATGAAAGGCCAGGGAGGCGAGGTCGGAACTGTGGGCCGAGCACCCCAGGGTCCCCTCTTCCTAGTTTATGAGAGGCTCCCTGACAGGACTTCCCTCCTGTTTCAGGAAAATCCTCTTATGTGGGGAGATGACACCCTAAGGTTTGGAGAAGGACTCACCCTCATGTGGCCAGGCCCCCTGCAGCAAGAAGAACCCTGGAAAGAAAGATCATGATGGACGATCCATCTGCAGGCAAACCAGCCCTCCCTTGCTGCCCTCACTGGGCTGTGAGTCTTGGTAGGCAGGCCCTTCCTGGACTGAAGTTAAACTCACCCTCAGTGCCTACCTGCACCCAAGAACAGGGCTGTCGGCTGTGCAGAGACCCAGCCTCCAAGCCCAGATCCCCACCACAAGCCCATATCCCCACCACAAGCCCATATCTCCACTCCAGGCCAATATTTCCACCCTAGGCCTGTATCTCCACTCCAGGCCCATATCTCCACTCCAGGCCGATATTTCCATCATAGGCCCATATCGCCAATCCAGGCCCATATCGCCAATCCAGGCCAAGATCTCCACTGTAAGCCCATATCTCCAATCCAGGCCCATATCTCCACTCCAGGCTCAGATCTCCAACCTAGGCCCATATCTCCAATCCAGGCCCATATCTCCACACCAGGCCCATATCTCTACTGAAGGCCAGTAACTCCACCTCCAGGCCCATATCTCCACTCCAGGCCCAGATCTCCACCCCAAGCCCATATCTCCACCCCAGGCCCATATCTCTACTGAAGGCCCGTAACTCCACCTCCAGGCCCATATCTCCACCCCAGGCCCAGATCTCCACCCCAAGCCCATATCTCCACTCTAGGCCCATATCTCCTCTCCAGTCCCATATCTCCACAACCAGGCCCATATCTCCATCCTAGGCCCATATTTCCACTCTAGGCCCAGATATCCACCTCTAGGCCCATATCTCCACTCCTGGCCCAAATCTCCACTCCAGGCCCATATCTCTACTATAGGCCTATAACTCCACCTCCAGGCCCATATCTCCACTCCAGGCTCCTATCTCCCCTCCAGGTTCCTATCGGCACTCCAGGCCCAGATCTCCACTTCTAGGCCCATCACTCCATCTCTAGGCCCATATATCCACTCCAGGCCCAGATCTCCACTCCAGGCCCACAACTCCACCTCCAGGCCTATATCTCCACCTCTGGGCCCAGATCTCCAACCCCACACTCCCTTCCTCTATTCCCTTCCAGGACTCACCAACACACGCCATGCTGACGACCGTGAGCGACATGGTGCTGCCGGTGCAGACAGGCGGCCGTGCCCCAGCTCAGCTCAGCAGCGCACAGGATGTTATTTGGCGCCCTGCCCATGCAGTTTACATGTTGACCACATCATGGGAGGGTGACGTACGCAGGCTCTTTCTACCTTGCATGAGGCCCAGTGGGTGCTCGCTCAAGAGCGGAACACGGCTTCCTGGAAATTGTTCTCACTAGAATTTACACCTAGCGTCCTTCACTATGACCAACTCAAAACACGTCTCAGATCCAACCTCCTGAACACGAGATGCCTAAAATCTGTGCTAACGTGAAAGACTTTTCATGTATTTTTATTGTTTTTATCTGAGATTCAAACTCTTCTTCATGTGTAATATGCAAAATATTTAATAGGTATTATTAAGGTTTTCAGAGTCATTGTGACTAATAAACCATTAGAATTTTTCATGCTTGTATTTCTAGTATTACAGCAGAACCAGTTAAAATGATTTAAATTCCCAGGGAAGGATTATGCAATTATTTACAATCTTAGAATTGTACTTTATCAGCAAAAACCACACCTGTAAATTCTGGAGTTTTGTAGTTTAATCTAAAATTTGTCTCATGACCCAAGATTCCAGAGTCCCAACTCTGGAGTTTGATCTCTCTCTGTCTCTCTGCCTCCCTCATTTTAAATTTTACAGAAATATCCAGTAACATAATGCTATAGAAAATCAAGTTTCCCCAGCACGTCGGGAAGCCGAGGTGGGCGGATCAACTGAGATGAGGGGATTGAGAGCAGCCTGGCCAACATAGTGAAACCGTGTCTCTGCTAAAAATCCAAAAATTAGCCATGCCTGGTGGCAGGCACCTGTAACGCCAGCTACTCAAGAGGCTGAGGCACGAGAATCGCTTGAACCTGGGAGGCGGAGGTTGCAGTGAGCTGAGATTGTGTCACTGCAGTCCAGCCTGGGCGACAGAGCAAGACTCCGCCTCAAGAAAAAAAAAAGCAAATAGCCTATAATAACAAATTAGAGGGCTCTGGCTACTAAATTTAAAGGGTTCTATAAGGCTACATAAAGTGTAGCATCATCAAGTGTGTGGACACAGACAGCCCCTTAGCAGAAACTGTCTAAAATACATCCATGTACACACAGTCCCTTTAGAGTTGACAAAGGCTGCCGTGTGGTTTAAGGTGGCATAGAATGTCTTCTCAATAAATAATATTAAACCAATGGGTTACACCTAGTAAAAAATAAATCTAACTCACACTATAAAAACACTTCTTAGTTTTTATCTAGTTGTACATTTTTTGATTTATATTTAAATTTGAGAAATAAAAGTCATATACGGTCATCCTTCACTATTCGTGGGTGATTGGTTTCGAGATCTCCACTCAGATACCAAAATCTGTAGATGCTCAAGCCTCTTATATGAAATGGCACAGCGCTTGCAAATAACATATGCACATCCTCCTGTATACATGAAATCATCTCTTGATTACTTATAATTCCTGATACAGCCTACACACAGCTTCATTTGTGTCCATTCAACATAGTTATGAGTTTTGGAACTCTGTGGATATTTTCTCTGAATATTTTTGATTTATACTTTGTTCAATAAAGACCTGTAAACCCCACAGATACGGAGGAGTGACCGTATATTTATAGTATGAAAGATGATGTGTTGATATGTGTCCCCATGGAGATGAGACTAACAAGGCCTATGACTCTACAAATGTTTCATCGTGGAATGACTCTGCCAGCTTTCCAGGTCTGCAGAGAGTAACAATGTCACTTGTTCATGTGATTCCCGATCCTTGGAACCTCCTATGTGCTGCATCTTTGGATGGAAATTGGAGTCCCAGAGACAAATGAGGCTCCACACTGCTTCCAGAAGCTCAGAGTCCAGAGGTGAGAACCCGGTGGAGAACAGATGGGATTATATGGACATGGTACTGATAACACCGGAAGCCTTAGGCAAGAAAAGAGTCCCATTACCTAAACCATGAGGGCAGACATGTTTATTTGAAGGAGGGAAAACTACATTGAAATTATTTTAAAAAATATATAAGTTTTACTGCTGACAGAAGGCTGAAAGCTAGTCTGAGGGGAGGTGGAACAGCATGAGGGAAGGTGGAACAGCACGTGTCTAAGTGCCGTGTTAAGAGGGAGCCTCTTGTATGTTTGGAATTGTGAGTTCCTCAGTGTGATTGCAGCCTCAAGTAGACTAGGAAGTAAGCCAGTTAGGTTGGAGAGGTGGGCAGGGGTCAAGTGAAATGGAGAATTGTGGGCTAAGCAAAGGAGTGTGTTTTCTCTCCAGCAGGCAGTGGGGACCTTAGACATTTGTAAGCAAGGGAGAGGCACGTTCAGATTTGTGGTGTGAGGAAGAGCGATGCCCTAAGATGCAGACTCACGCCTTCAGATTCCAGCTGCTGGTACATTGGAGCTGGCAACCCAGTTTTGAGACAGGGCTGTTGTCTCCCTAGAAGATCCCCTCAAGGCCTGACTGTGGTGCTCATGGGCAGGAGACAACTTTGGATCAGGGCTCAGCATTTGGAAGTTCCGTGTACACGATGATATCTGTTGGGGGTGTCTTGGGCCTCTGAGAAGGGCGAGTGATTTTTCTCTGTGTGAAAACGCAGTGATTCAACTGTGCATATGTCACCTCCTGAGGGTCTTGTTCATCAGAGTCCTGGAGAGAGGGAAATGCTGAGTGAGGGAGGGTGCTCACATTTTCCAGGACTCTTTGGGAATAACACTAGCCACGAGGCTGGGCCGAGGAGCACCTACCTCCCTGTTCACTGTTCTGTTCCCTGCAGGCTCTTGGTCCATTACAACAGCATCTGTAGAAGACGGAAGTCAACAAAACAGCTCAGAGGGCACTTCTGGGCCCTCATTTCATAAGCAGATACCAACATACAGGGGGAGACCATAGGAGCCTGAGGTCCCTCAGTTGCCAACAGCAGACTCAGACATTCTATCTCTCTGAGCTCAAGGACCCATCCCATGAATAGCTCTGAGTTCCCATCCCATTGATTCTGTCTCCCACTTTCTGCCTGTCATGGAACCTTCTCCTGGATGTGAGTGGCTGCAGGGGACATGAGGATACAGTTCAGAATCAGGCAATGGTCTGTGAGCTGAAGGCAGGGACAGGGAGTCTGGTGCTCTCTCTAGAAAGTCCTCCCTCTGTGGCTGCTGCCTTGGGCCAGGGACCATCCTGTCTGTGAGGAACACACACCTGAGTGCTCCCATCCTGCTTCCCCACATGGCCCTGAGCTCTCTGGCCTCTGCTTCGTGAGACTTACTTTTTTTGTTGCAGCACCAGCGATGAAGGAGAAAGAAGAGGAGGAGGATGAAGAGGATGATGACCACTGAGGTCCCAATCAGAACATGCAGGTGTCTGGGGTTACCTGGAAGAAGAGGAGACACCAATAAGAAGCTAATCATAGCAGTTCCTCTTTATGAATTGTCTCACATTTCTTGATTGACAGGTAACCACATACAACACCCCTTTAGGACAAGCACCCAGATGGAGGGAGACCCAGCTTTCTCCTGCTTTCTCAGTTATAGCTCTCATAGTAACCATAGAACGTGTTGAGGATACAACTACTTTAGTTGAGATGTTTGACCCCTTCAAACCTCACATTGAAATTTCACCCCCACTGTGGGAGGTTGGGCCTCTTGAGAGGTGTTTGGGTCATGGAGGTGGATCCATCATGAACAGACCAATGCTGTCCCAAGGAGACGGGGTTAGCAAGTTCCCCTTCTATTAGTTCCTGGAGAGCTGGTTGTTCAAAAGAGCTTGGAAGCTCCATCGCTCCCCCTCCCCCTTGCTCCCTCTCTTGCCGTGTGATCTCTGTGGTCTCTGCACAGACAGACCCTCCTTCCCTTCTGCCAGAGTGGGAGCAGCCTGAGGCCGTCACGAGAAATAGATGCTGGTGCCACGCTTCCAGTACAGCCTGCAGAACTGTGAGGCAAACCAATCTCTTTTCTCTAGAAGTTACCCAGGCTCAAGTGTTCCTTTAGAGCAACAAAAATGGACTAAGACAGCAACGTCCTGAGATCAGGAGGAACGTCTCAGAACAGCCTGGGCTGTCTTCCTGTTCTTCCTGGAGGAGGACGTCATGCAGTGCTTTAGCTGAGTGCTTCCTGTGGCTCCACAGTACAAAACCCAGGCTGGGCTGCTCTCTGGCTTCCCCCAGCTACACTGCAAATGGGGTGACTCCATATGTCCCGAGTAGCTTTTCTGAGCCTTGAGGGACTGGCTCACATTGAAATGTAGGTTTCTGTTGTCACTCGCTGCTTATCTGTTAGTAATGAACCTGCCTGTGTAATGTATTCTCTGTGTGTTCTGTCTCCCTGGAGTGACGGTGAGTGATAGGAATTGGCATAAGCCCAGGTGCAGTCCAGGAGGTATTTAGAGTCTTCTCTGGGAAGACTGCACTGGGATTGATACACAGCGAATGTGCTTTAGGATTTCTACATCCACAGCATTCTTGAATCAAACAACTTGCATTCTCCAAGAAAAGGAAACAAAAGTGAAATCAAGATAAAAAAAGCTAAGTAGAATTCTCTTATGTCAAATGGCCAGGAAATAGTGTTGAAGCCCGTGTGAAACGTGCTACTCTTTGTGATCTCGGGAGACACATGTTAGGCTGCTGTTCTACCCGAGAGGCTGGGGGAAGGACCACCCCCTCGGCCATCTATTGCTTCAATACCACCTGTCCTCCTGTGAATTAGTAGGAAAGGGGAGCAGGAGCTAGTGCTGGCACTGATCTCTGATTCCAAGATCTGGACTCACTCCAAGGAGTATCAATGTTTACCTCCCCATAGCCTATCTGAATCTCCACAGGTGATTGGAAGTAGGGGTGAGGTGGGGGATTTGGGTGAGTGGGCAAGTTTTTTGTTGCGATGAACAGAGCACTTTCTCTATTCCACGATCTGTGCTGGAGGATTCTGAGGGCTTTCACATTTTCTATGTGATCTCATTCTCACAGAAAGCCAAATAGGGAAGAGGTTTTAAGCTCATTGCCTAATGGATAAGATAAAGGATCAAAGAAGTAATTATAGAGAAATAGAAAAACGATGATTGGAATTCAGGTGCCTTTGTCATTCGTGTGTGTTTTATTATATTTATGTATTTCTTATTTTTATTTTTTGAGATAGAGTCTCCTTGTGTCCCCCAGGCTGGAGTGCAGTGATGCAATCTCCACTCACTGCAACCTCCACCTACTGGGTTGAAGTCATTCTCCTGCTTCATCCTCCAGAATAGGAGCTGGGATTACAGGGATGCACCATCGTGCTCGGCTAATTTTTGTATTTTTAGTAGAGATAGGGTTTCACCACGTTGGCCAGGCTGGTCTGGAACTCCTGACTTCATGGAATCCACCCACCTTGGCCTCCTGCAGTGCTAGGTTACAGGCGTGAGCCACTGTTCACAGACTTGTATATTATGCTATAATAAGTCTCTTCATTTCCACCACCACTCATATATCTGTCACTCCTTTGCCAGGTATTGATTTATGTGTAGGATGAATAAATCTCAGAAAGAAATTAATTAAGCGAGGATTAAACAAGTAGGAAAATCAAACCCAGTAAGCGTTTCCAGTCAATGATTCTACCTCACAAACATATCTTATATCCATCTACTTCATTCATTTAGTGTCTAAATCAGCACCACATTTCACCAGTGGGGTGGCAATTGCCTTTTCCACGGTCTCCTAGATTCCAGTTATGCAACTGAGCCTCCCTTATTTTCATGTCAGTCATATTAATCATGTAGGGATTCCTGGTTACCCCGAGGTGAATCCAATGGCTGTGAGTGTCAAACACACACTCCTTGTTGCTCCTTAGTTTCCTGTGTACCCAGTGTGCTCTCCGTCTCTCTACAGTCGTCTTGTCATTCTCCCCACATCATTCCCAGCATTTGAGGCAGAGCCTCTTCCTTCCACATCAGATTGTTTTCACCTTTGTGCCTTCACGGCTGACAGCTGTGTGTGCAAAATCCTTCCGCCAATCTTTCAGGGGTTCAATCCGTGTTTTTCATTAATGTCACAAATATCTGAATAGTGAGACCTTCTTTGTCACCTGAAATCATACACTCAGCATTATCTATTATTGATTTTGAATTCTGGCTGGGCACAGTGGCTCACGCCTGTAGTCCCATTACTTTGGCATGCTGAGACGGTCGGATCACTTGAGGTTGGGAGTTTCAGACAAGCTTGGCCAACGTGGTGAAACATCCTCTCTACAAAAAATATACAAAAAGAATTAGCCGGGCACGGTGGCAGTTGCCTGTAATCCCAGCTACTCGAGAGGCGGAGGCAGGAGAATCACTTGAATCCAGGAGACGCAGGTTGCAGTGAGCCAAGATCGTGACACTGCACTGTAGCCTGGAAGACAGAGGGCGACTCTGTCTCAATAAACAAAAGAACAAACAAAAAATAGATTTCATGCACAGATGCTTCCCAATGGATCATTCATTTATAGATCCACTTGTGCATTCATTTTCTGCCCTCCCATTTAACCATCTGCAATATCAGTGTCCCAAGGGCAGAAGCCAAATGCATCTTGTTCACCGTTTGTGGAAGGCAGGAGAATGCTGTCCCACCCCAAAATGTCCCTGTCCTAGCCTCCATAGCTTGTGAATATGTTATTTTACATGGAAAGGAGGAATGAAGATTGTAGATGGAATTGCGGTTGCTAATCAGCTGAACTTAAAACAAGGGTATCCTGGATGATTTCCAGGAGATTATGAGGGATTTTCATCTTGGTGAACCCAATAGAATCCCCAAGTTTTCAAAAGATAAGGAAGAAGGGAGAGCAGCATTCAGAGAAAGAGGTGTGGTAAGGAAGAAGGCACTGAGTGATGCCATGTGAGATGTGACCAGTCTTTGTGGGCTTTGAGGAAGGAGGAAGGGGAACAGGAGCCAAGGAACTGGGAGCCTTTAGAAGCTGGGATAAGTGAGAAGCAGATTCTTGCCTGGAATCCTCAGAGGGAAGGCAGCCTTGCTGTCACCTTGATTTTAGCCCAGTAAGATGCACTTCCTACTTTGAGCTACAGCACTGTAAGATAATTAAAAAACCGTTTTGTTTTCACCCACGAATCTTGTGGAAATTTGTTATGGCAACAATAGGAAAAGGTTCCGCACTGCACAGCCTGAGCATGGGGCCGTGGCTGAATGAGTCAGTGAGTCGAAGTGTGCGTGCATGAGCTCCGTTCTCTGTTACGGCAAGGCTGTTGCTCTGCTGAGTCAGCCAGGGTTGCTTCATGACCAACAGTAATTCATTCCTTGGCAAGTGGAACTTCTCTAAAACACCTCGCCCTCATCAGATGTTCCCTTCCCTTCCCTCTCTCAAGCCCCCAGGAATTTATCCTCCAGTTAGGAATGCAGGCAGAACAAACATTGCATTTTTCCTGAGAAGGATGTCAGATTGGCAATCATTCTTCTAGCTTGTAGGAGGTCTCAGCTCCATAAAATGAGAGATTAAGAGATTTCACTGAGCCCTAGGTTGGGCCCAGATCCCTTTCGCTGTTGGAGTATCTGGAGTTCGGAGATGGTAGAAGACAGGCGTACAATGTCAGAGCTGCGAGATGCTGAGTCAATGCCTGCATCGAAGGTTTCTACCTCCCCAGGTTTCCAAAAGCGGATATAAGAGGGTTCTGTACTCACCGGTTTCGGAGCTTGGTTCAGTGGGTGAAGGCCAACTATTTGAAGGGTTTCCTAGAACACGAGACAGGAGAGAGGTGAGGAAATGAGGGTGTCTGTCCTCTACTCAATGGAAATCTTTGAGGTTGGTTCATGGCCAACACTCTGTTATCTAATATTGGGCCCTGGGAGTCCTGGGATCCTTTTTTCCGTAATTTTTGTATGTGACGCCCACTGTCTTGAGACTTCAAGGTATAAAGAGAAAACAGGAGCATCACACTACCTGATCTCAAAATATGTTACAGAGCTGTAGTAAGCAAAACAGCATCACATTGGCATAAAGAAAGGCACGTAGAACAATGGAGCAGAATGAAGAACACAGATATAATCCATGCATTTACCTCCAATGTTTTTTTCTTTTTTCTTTTGAGATGGAGTCTCGCTCTGTCACCCAGGCTGGAGTGCAGAGGTGCAATCTCGGTTCACTGCCACCACAGCCTCCTGGGTTCAATCAATTCTCTGGCCTCAAACTCCTGAGTAGTGGTATTACAGGTGCTGACCACCATGCTCAGCTAATTTTTATATTTTTAGTGGAGACAATGTTTCATCACGTCGGCCAGACTAATCTTGAACTCCTGGCCTCAGGTGATCCACCCGCCTTGGGCTCCCAAAGTGCTGAAATTGCAGGTGTCAGCCACCATGCCCAGCCCATCCAATGGACTTTGACAAAGGTGCCAAGAACTCACAATCAGGAAAGGACAGTCTTTTCAATAAACAGTGCAGGGAAACCTGGACATCTACATGCAGAGGAATGAAACTGCACCTCTACCTGTCACTATACACAAAACTCAAATGAAAATGGATTAAAGATGTGAGTCTAAGGCCTGAACCTATGAAACACGTAGAAGAAAATATTGGGGAAATGCTCCAGGACATTTGTCTGAAGGAAGACATTTTGTTTTAAACCTTCAAAACACAAGTAATCGAAGCAAAAATAGACCATTGGGATTACCTCAAACTAAGCAACTTCTGCACCGCTAAAAATAAACCAACAAAGTGAAGAGACAACCCACAGATTGGGAGCAAATATGTGCAAACTATGCATCTGAGATGGGATTAATAACTAGAAATATAAGAAGCTCAAACAACTCAATAAAACAAACGATTTAATTGAAAAAGGAGCAAAACACATGAAATTTCCCCACATACTAAAAAGTGCTCAGTTTCACTCATCATCAGAGAAACACAAATTAAAATCAAAGTGAGTTTTCATCTCACCCCATTAAAATGGATTTTAGGCCGGGCGTGGTGGCTCACGTCTGTCATCCTAGACCTTTGAGAGCCTGAGGTGGGTGAACCTCATAAGGTCGGGAGTTTGAGACCAGTCTGACCCACATGAAGAAACACTGTCTCTACTAAAAATACAAAATTTAGTTGGGCGTGGTGGCGTGTGCCTGTAATTCCAGCTACTCGGGAGGCTGAGGCAGGAGAATCGCTTGAACCTGGGAGGTGGAGGTTGTGGTGAGCCGAGATCGCACCACTGCACTCCAGCCTGGGTGACAAGAGCGAAACTCCATCTCAAAATAAAATGAAATAAAATAAAATGGCTTTTAGCTGCAAGACAGGCAAAGGAAATCCTGCCAAAGTGGTAGAGAAAGGAGAACCCTAATACCCTGTTGGTAGGAGTGTAAATTAGTACAGCCTTTACGGAGAAAAGTGTGGAAGTCCTTTAAAGAACTAAAAAGAGGTTGGGTGAGGTGGATCATGCCTGTAATCCCGGCACTTTGGGAGACCGAGGCGGGCACCTCAGTTGAGGTCATGAGTTTGAGAGCAGCCCAGCCAACATGGGGAAACCCCATCTATACTAAAAAAAACAAAAAGTAGCCAGGCATGGTGGCGTGCACCTGTAATCCCAGCTACTAGGGAGGCTGAGGCAGGAAAATCATTTGAACCCAGGAGGCGGAGGTTGCAATGAGCCAAGATGACTTCACTTGTACTCCAGCCTGGGCACAGAGGGAAACTGTCTCAAAAACAAAAACAAAACAACAAACGAATAACTAAAAAGAGAACTTTCATAGTATCCAGCAATTTCACTACTGGGTTTATATCCAAAGGAAAGTAAATCAATATATCGAAGTGATATCTGCACTCGTATGATTGGTGCAGCACTGTTCACAGTAGCCAAGATGTGGAGTCAACCTACCTGCCCATCAGTGGATGAATGGATAGAGAGAATGTAGTACATACGCACAGTGGAGACTACTCATCCATAGAAAGAATAACATCCTGATATTTGCAGCCACATGGATGGAACTGGAAGTCATTACAAAGATTCCCATTTCTCACCCATATACAGAGCTAAAAGGTGGATCTCATGAAGGTAGAGAGTAGAATGGTGGCTTCCAGAGGCCAGGAATAAAAGGGTGGAGGGTAAAAAAAAAAAAAAAAAAAAATATATATATATATATATATATATATATATATATGTTTATATATGTGTGTGTGTGTGTATATATATATATATATATATATATATAAATGTATTTATGACCACTAGACTTTACACTTAAAAATGGTAAATGTGGCTGGGCGTGGTGGCTCATGCCTGTAATCCCAGCACTTTGGGAGGCAGATGCGGGTGGATCACGTGGTCAGGAGTTGGAGACCAGCTCGACCAACATGGTGAAACCCCCTCTCTACTAAAAATACAAAAAGTAGCCTGGCGTGGTGGTGCGCGCCTGTAGCACCAGCTACTCAGGTGGCTGAAGCAGGAGAATCACTTGAACCCAGGAGGCGGAAGTTGCAGTGAGCTGAGATTGTGCCACTGCACTCCAGCATAGGGGACAGAGCTAGACTCTGCCTCAAAAAAAAAAAAAATGTTAAAGGTGGTAAGCTATATAGGTATATTTATCCTCAATAAATATTTCTTCAAACAAAAGTAAAGGGTGTAGGGGTTGCTGGTGATGACATCCCTGTGTGGGTGAGAGGCCAGGATGGGCTTCTGGGAAATGGGTAATGTTGAGGGGCTGAGGGAACCTCTGATCTTCCCAAACTGAGCCCAGTCTCTCTCCTCTGGGTCTCTCCTGACCGTTTTCTCCATCTGCCTGTGTGCCTGGAGCCCTGGCCGCGGGCCTTCATGCAGGCCGTGTAGGAGGGTTTGGAGGTGCCCTGTCTGCCATCCTGTGCCCTGATCCCTCCCTCACACCCAAGCTTCGTCTTCTCTCTGCATCTGTCCATGCTTCTCTCCATCATCAGCAGGAAGCTCCTCAGCTAAGGCTCTAGGATCATAGGACATGAGACAGATATGGGGTTTCCTCACCTGTGACAGAAACAAGCAGTGGGTCACTCGAGTTTGACCACTCGTATGGAGAGTCACGGAAAGAGCCGAAGCATCTGTAGGTTCCTCCGTGGGTGGCAGGGCCCAGAGGAAAGTCGGCCTGGAATGTTCCGTTGACCTTGGGCCCTGCAGAGAACCTACGTTCATGGGCCTCCCCCTCCCTGGATAGATGGTACATGTCATAGGAGCTCCGGGAGCTGCAGGACAAGGTCACGCTCTCTCCTGCCAGAACCGTGGGGCCCGGCTGGGCTGAGAGAGAAGGTTTCTCATATAGACCTGGAGGAGAAGAGGCATTTTCCTTACGGAGGATCTTCCTTGTCACAGCTCCCTTCACCTGAGCTGAGAACTCACTCCCCTGCTCTATGACCTAATGCTCTCTCTCTCTCTCTCTCTCACCCTCCACCCCATCTCTCTTCATGTCTATTTCCTTCTTCCACCTTCTCTGTCTCTCTAGGTCTCTGACCTCGCTTCCCCACCTCTAGATATGTTTTCCCTTTTTGGATTCTTTTATTCTCTCTGACTCTCCTTGGATTGGTTGACTTGATGTTACTTTTTTAAATTCTAAGTTTCTCACGTTGTGTCCTGTTCATAACTTTCTGCATATTTCTATCTATTATCTGTCGATCTATCTATTTATCTATTCGGTGCCTATCTACAAATTCTCTACCTGTCATCTATATCTATATATCATCTATGTATCTATCACTTGTCTATCTATCCATCAATCATCTGTTATTTATATGTATGTATCATCTCTCTCTCTATGATTTCTGTCTGCCTCTCTATCTGTACGTATTATCTGTCTTCATCATCATCATCTCTATGTATTATCTATTAATGAATCAATCAATCATCATCTATGTATCTTTAACCTATTATCTATCATCTACCTATTTATCATCTATCTATATCTATCCATCTATCATCTGTCTTGCTCTGCCTCTCGGTCTCTCTAGTTCTCTTTGGAATCTCTGCAATTCATCCCCACATCTCCATGTTTCTATGTCCTTGTGCCTCTCTCTCAGGACTCTAATTTTAGTGCTTTTCTCTGCTCCCTGCCATCATTCTCACCACTCCTCTGCCCTCTTTTCTCTCTCTTTATGTGTCTGTGAGTCTCTCAATCTCCTTCCTCTGGCTCATTCTCTGTGTGTTTATGTCTTTGCTTTTTGGTGTTCCTGATTTTTCTCTGTGCCTCTCAGTGATCCTTTCATATGTGGGGTTATTTGGAATGTGAGCCACAGAATCCAGTCTGGAGACCACAAGTTCACACAGCATACAGGGGTTGGTGTTCTGGGGCCATGATATCCTGGGACGATTACTCTCCATTACATGGAAGGCAGAGGTGTCAGAATAAACATGGCCTGTAGGTGCCACAAGGCCTGAGGCCACAGGGCCCAACTCAGGTCATAAATATGGGTGTCCTTGGGTTCTCCTGGTAGAGAACACTTTGTGGAGGTAAAACAGAAATGAAACTTCTAACCTGTGCCAGGTCTGTGAGCAAAGTCAGCATGGAGGGACACCTCTCTCTGGGACATGTCTGTCTGTCTGTCTCTTTTAACTCTTTCTGTCTTTTCTAACTCCCTGTATGGCCCCTGTGTCTGTCCTCTGTTATGACACCTGGTCTGTACTTGTGTCTCCTGTTTCTCTGTCTCTGTTGGTACAAACCTCAGCAAGTCAGTCTCTCTCCATAAGAATACCAAGCTCATCTTCCTTACAACTACCTGGGGGTTCCAAGTCGTGGATCATTCACTCTGCATCCCAATGACAATGAGAATGTCCGGACACTCTCACCTGTGATGACGATGTCCAGAGGGTCACTGGGAGCTGACAACTGATAGGGGGAGTGAGTAACAGAACCGTAGCATCTGTAGGTCCCTGCAAGGTCTTGCATCATGGGACCGATGGAGAAGTTGGCCTTGGAGACCCCATCATGGTGCTCTCCAATGAGGTGCAAAGTGTCCTTAAACTTCCCTTCTCTGTGCAGAAGGAAGTGCTGAAACCTGACATCTGACCAACATTGCAGGATGACTGTCTCTTCTGATTTCACCAGGGGACCTGGGTGGGCCAGGAGGGAAGGTTTTCTGTGGACTCCTAGGAAGAGAGGTTGTGAGTTTAGAAGGTGTCTCTCTTTATCATCCCATCCATGGCACCTAGAATGAGTGAGGCTTCCCCTTGCTGGTGTCTGTCTCTCTCCTTCCTCTCTGTGTCTTCATGTTCTTTTCTGTGCCCTTAACTCCTGGTGCAGGTCCTTCCATCTGTCTCCCTCCCTCTTCTCTGTCCCTCTGTCTCTAGTAGCCTCTGATTCCCTTCCCACTGGGCTGAGCCTCATCTCTTGGGGTGTTGTATCTATTTCACACTAATGTATTTCCTGCTGTTTATGTGGGGGTGAAAGAGGAACCAGGATAGGCTGCACATCCAGGCTCTTATCAGCCTGGTTCAATCTCTTTTGGATGAATTGCAATCCTTGGCAGAAGGTATGAACTGATGAATAAGGCAGGCACCAGTGTCCACACACCCTGTTCCTGGTGGGGACTGGGAGCCACTCTTGCCATGCCTGTGCCTTCTCCATGGTGCCAGCTTCCATAGGCTGGCTCCTGGTGCTGGTTGGAGGAGTATCAACCCCTCCCTATGTGGATGGAGCCTGGTGGTGGCATCATCATCCCACCCTTGCTGATCTCAGGGTAGCCAACCTTCTCCTTGTTTGGTTTCTTTAATTAATTAATTAATTATGGAGACAGAGTCTCACTCCTTCACCCAGGCTGGAGTGAAGTGGTGTGGTCTAGGCTCACTGCAACCTCTGTCTCCTGGGTTCAAGTGATTCTCCTGCCCTCAGCCTCCTGAGTCGCTAGGATTACATGCACCTGCCACCATGCCTGGCTTTCCTTGGGTTGTTTCTTAACTTGTCCTTGACCTGGGTTCCAGTGTTGGTTTCCTGTTGCTGCTGTAGAAAATTATCAGAAGCATGGCAGCAGGAGAGACCACACTGACACCTTCCAGTACTGGAGACAGAAATTGGACCCTATTTTTCCTGGGCTAAAATCAAGGCATCTGCAGGGCTTTGTTCCCTCTGGAGACTCTGGAGAATCAGTTCCTTGACTTTTCCAGCCTCTATAGGCCACCTGCATTCATGGATCTTGGCCTTCCTCCACCTTCAAAGCTGGTGAAGACTTCCACTGGACTGCTCTAATCCCCACTCCCCTCTTCCTCCTCCTTTCATGTGCACCCTTGTGATTACACTGAGCCCAGTGGGACAGTCCAGGCTGTCTCCCCATGAGCTCCATCTTCCCCTTCAGTCCCTTCCCCTATAACATAAATAGTCACAGACTCCAGGGATTAGAATGTAGTCATCACTGGGGACAATTATTCTTCCCACCACAGCACCCATTTCCCTGTATTCAATCCCCCTTTACCACAAATACAGTCAGGGCCTGCGTGATGGGACCCTCAAGGACATGCCCAACAGAAGCTCTGGGATTCAGGAGGTGGGACAAGGAGAATCCAAGACAGGAGCCCTCTGACCTATGACCACGATCACCAGGGGGTTGCTGGGTGCTGACCACCCACTGGGGGAGTGTGTGTGTGAACCCCGACATCTGTATGTCCCTGTGTGTGCGGGGGTCACAGGGCCCATGAAAAGGCTGTTCCAGAATATTCTGTTGTAGAGCTCAGGGACAGGCACCCCACCTTCCTTTTACAGACTGAAGTTGTTAAACCCAAGATAAGAGTGACACCGAAGAATGACATGTCCTAGAGGCACCACAAGGCTGGGCCAGGCAGACAGCAAGGGCTTGTCCTGACCACCTTGGGGAGAAGGAGGCGCCGCCTTAGAGAGGAGGATGTGGAACTGCCCTTCCCTCCCTGTGCTCAGAAGATTCTCCTCGCTTTCCACGTTTCTATGGCTACTATCACACCTTGGTGCCCAGGGCTGAAGGAAGGACCCATCCCGCAAAGACATGGTGTCTCCCTACAACAAAAGCCTCAGCTGAGAACTTTGAGCAAGTGCTGAGTAAAGAGACTCCTACTAGATTTTAATACTGTAAGATTACTCACATAAAACAACACAGGGTAGACATGAGGTGGAGGGCATGTCCTTTGTGAATGGATATCAGCGGATGCCTGAACGAAAATAAACAACTGAGCCCCCATCAGAGGATTTGGAATGTCAGGGCCATGGCTGTGGTTTCCCACCTCTTCTGGTAGAATGACAGCAGCCACACTGCAGCCCCTACCATCATGGAAACGCTGAAGTGTGTGAGTAACACCTTTGTCCTCAGAGGATCTGCTGTTCCTACCACTTCCCAACCACACACCCCAGCTTTGAGCACCCCAGTCTAACCCTGGTCCCCACAGAACTTGACTCTGCCAAGGGGTTGAGAGGCCAGGGAGGCGAGGTCAGAAATGTGGGCTGAGCACCCCAGGGTCCTCTCTTCCTAGTTTATGAGAGACTCCCCGACAGGACTTCCCTCCTGTTTCAGGAAAATCCTCTTATGTGGGGAGATGACACCCGAAGGTTTGGAGAAGGACTCACCCTCATGTGGCCAGGCCCCCTGCAGCAAGAAGAACCCTGGAAAGAAAGATCATGATGGACCATCCATCTGCAGGCAAACCAGGCCTCCCTTGCTGCCCCCACTGGGCTGTGAGTCTTGGCAGCCAGGCCCTTCCTGGGCTGAAGTTAAACTCACCCTCAGTGCCTACCTGCACCCAAGAACAGGGCTGTCGGCTGTGCAGAGACCCAGTTTCCAGGCCCATATCCCCACCCCAAGCCCATATCTCCACTCCAGGCTGATATTTCCACCCTAGGCCCATATCGCCAATCCAGGCTCAGATCTCCACCCTAGGCCCCTATCTCCAATCCAGTCCCATATCTCCGCCCCAGGCCCAGATCTCCACCCTAAGCCCATATCTCCACTCCAGGCCCATATCACCTCTCCAGTCCCATATCTCCACACCCAGGCCCATATCTCCTTCCTAGGCCCATATCTCCACTCCAGGCCCAGATATCCACCTCTAGGCCCATAACTCCACTCCTGGCCCATATCTCCACTCCAGGCCCATATCTCTACTGCAGGCCCGTATCTCCACCTCCAGACCCATATCTCCACTCCAGGCCCATATCTCCACCTCCAGGCCCATATCTCCACCTCCAGGCCCATATCTCCACTCCAGGCCCATATCTCCACTCCAGGCCCATATCTCCACTCCAGGCCCCTATCTCTACTGCAGGCCCATATCTCCATCTCCAGGCCCATATCTCCATCTCCAGGCCCATGTCTCCACTACAAGCCCATATCTCTACTGCAGGCCCATATCTCAACCTCCAGGCCCATATCTCCACTCCAGGCCCAGATCTCCACTCCAGGCCCAGATCTCCACTTCTAGGCCCATCACTCCATCTCTAGGCCCATAACTCCACTTCCAGGCCTATATCTCCAACTCTGGGCCCCGATCTCCATCCCCGCACTCCCTCCCTCGATGCCCTTCCAGGACTCACCAACACACACCATGCTGACGACCATGAGCGACATGGTGCTGTCTGTGCAGACAGGCGGCCGCGCCCCAGCTCAGCTCAGCAGCGCACAGGATGTTATTTGGCGCCCTGCCCATGCAGTTTACATGTTGACCACATCATGGGAGGGTGACGTACGCAGGCTCTTTCTACCTTGCATGAGGCCCAGTGGGTGCTCGCTCAAGAGCGGAACATGGCTTCCTGGAAATTGTTCTCACTAGAATTGACACCTTGCGTCCTTCACTACGACCAGACTCAAAAGACGTCTCAGATCCAACCTCTCATACACGAGATGATTGAATTCTGTGCTTACATTAAAGATTTTTGATGTATTTTTGTTTTTATCTGAGATTCAAACTCTTCTTCATATGTAATGTGCAAAATGTCTAACAGGTATTATTAACATTATCAGAGTAATTGTGACAAGAAGCCATTCTAATTTTCCTGCTTGAGTTTCTACTACTAAACCAGAGGCATCAGAATAGCTTGAACCTGGGAGACGGAGGTTGCAGTGAGCTGAGCTCAAGCCACTGAACTCCAGCTTGGGTGACAGAGGAAGAGTCTGTCTCAAGAAAAAAAAAAAAAGCAAACTAAATAACCTATAATAACAAATCAGAGGACTCAGGTTACCAAATTTTAAGGGGTTCTATAAGTTTATATAAAATGCAGCATCCTCATGAGAGGGGATACAGAGAACCACTGGACAGAAAACTGTGTCTAAAATACATCTGTGGATACACAGTCCCTTTATAGTTGACAAAGGCTGCCATGTAGTTTAAGGTGGAATAGAATATTTTCTCAACAAATAACACAGGACCATAGGGTTACACGTAGGAAAAAATAAATCTAAACTTATCCTCACACTATAAAAACACTTCTTATTTTTTATCTTGTTGTTGTAAATTTTTTATGCTTTATTTTTAAGATTGACAAATAAAAATTATATACCATGGTCCTTCACTATACCTGGGTGATTGGTTCCAGGATCCCCATTCAGATACCAAAATCTGCAGATGCTCAAGCCCCTTGCATGAAATGGCATAGTGAAGCTGGGCACCGTGGCTCACGCCTGTAATCCCAGCACTTTGGGAGGCTGAGCTGGGTAGATCACAAGGTCAGGAGTTCAAGACCAGCTGGTCCAACATTCTGAAACCCCATCTCTACTAAAAATATACACACAAAAAAATTTATCTGTGCATGGTGGCACGTGCCTGTAATCCTAGGGGAGGCTACTGGGGAGGCTGAGGGAAGAGAATCGCTTGAACCTGGAAGGCGGAGGTTGCAGTGAGTTGAGATCACGCCACTGCACTCCAGCCTGGGTGAGAGAGTGAGACTGTCTCAAAAAAAAAAAAAAAATAGCATAGCAATTGCATAGAACCCATGCACATCCTCCTGTATACATGAAATCATCTCTTGATTACTTATAATTCCTGACACAGCCTACACGCCACTCAATTTGTGTCGATTCAACATAGTTTTTTGCTTTTTGAAACTTCGGGGATTTTTTTTCTCAAAATATTTTTGATTTATTGCTGATTCAATAAACATGTGTAAACCCCAGAGATATGGAGGAGTGACTGTCTATTTATAGTAGTATGAAAGATGATGTGTTGATACGTGTCCCTGTGGAGATGAGACTAACAAGGCCTATGACTCTACAAATGTTTCATCGTGGAATGACTCTGCCAGCTTTCCAGATCTGCAGAGAGTAAGAATATCACTTGTTCATCTGATTCACCATCCTTGGAACCTCCTATGTGCTGCATCTTTGGATGGAAATTGGAGTCTCAGAGACAATTCAGGCTCCACCATGCTTCCAGAAGCTCAGAGTCCAGGGCTGAGAACCCAGCGGAGAACAGATGGGGTTATGTGGACGTGGTAATGATAACACCGGAAGCCTTAGGCAAGAAAAGAGTCCCATTGAAGAAACCATGAGGGCAGACATGTTTACTTGAAGAATAGAAAACTACATTGAAATTATAAAAAAAATTTATAAGTTTTACTGCTGACAGAAGGCTGAAAGATACTCTGAGGAAAGGTGGAATAGCACGTATCTAAGTGCCGTGTTAAGAGGGAGCCTCTTATATGTTTGGAATTGTGAGTTCCTCAGTGTGATCGCAGCCTCAAGTAGACTAGGAAGTAAGCCAGTTAGGTTGGAGAGGTGGGCAGGGGTCAAGTGAAATGGAGAATTGTGGGCTAAGCAAGTGTGTTTTCTCTCCAGCAGGCAGTGGGGACCTTAGACATTTGTAAGCAAGAGAGAGGCATGTTCAGATTCGTGGTGTGAGGAAGAGCGATGCCCTAAGATGCAGACTCACGCCTTCAGAGTCCAGCTGCTGGTACATGGGAGCTGGCAACCCGGTTTTGAGACAGGGCTATTGTCTCCCTAGAAGATCCCATCAAGGCCTGACTGTGGTGCTAGTGGACAGAAGACAACTTTGGATCTGCGCTCAGCATTTGGAAGTTCCGTGTTACACGCTGGTATCTGTTGGGGGTGTCTTGGGCCTCTGAGAAGGGCGAGTGATTTTTCTCTGTGTGAAAACGCAGTGATTCAACTGTGCGTATGTCACCTCCTGAGGGTCTTGTTCATCAGAGTCCTGGAGGGAGGGAAATGCTGAGTGAGGGAGGGTGCTCACATTTTCCAGGACTCTTTGGGAATAAGACTAGCCACGAGGCTGGGCGGAGGAGCACCTACCTCCCTGTTCACTGTTCTGTTCCCTGCAGGCTCTTGGTCCATTACAACAGCATCTGTAGAAGACGGAAGTCGTCAAAACAGCTCGGAGGGCACTTCTGGGTCCTCATTTCATAAGCAGATACCAACATACAGGGGGAGGCCATAGGTGCCTGAGGTCCCTCAGTTGCCAACAGCAGACTCAGACATTCTATCTCTCTGAGCTCAAGGATCCATCCCATGTATAGCTCTGAGTTCCCATCCTATTGATTCTGTGTCCCACTTTCTGCCTGTCATGGAACCTTCTCCTGGATGTGAGTGGCTGCAGGGGATGTGAGGATACGGTTCAGAATCAGGCAATGGTCTGTGAGCTGAAGGCAGAGGCAGGGAGTCTGGTGCTCTCTCTAGAAAGTCCTGCCTCTGTGGCTCCTGCCTTGGGCCAGGGACCATCCAGTCTGTGAGGAACACACACCTGAGTGCTCCCATCCTGCTTCCCCACATGGCCCTGAGCTCTCTGGCTTCTGCTTCGTGAGACTTACTCTTTTTGTTGGCACACCAGCGATGAAGGAGAAAGAAGAGGAGGATAGCAAAGGGGATGATGACCACTGAGGTCCCAATCAGAACGTGCAGGTTTCTGGAGTTACCTGGAGGAAGACAAGACACCAATAAGAAGCTAATCATAGCAGTTCCTCTATATGAATTGTCTCACATTTCTTGATTGACAGGTAACCACATACAACGTCTCTTTAGGACAAGCACCCAGATGGCGGGAGACCTAGCTTCCTCCTGCTTTCTCAGTTGTAGTAACCATAGAACGTGCTGAGGATACAACTGCTTTAGTTTAGATGTTTGACCCCTTCAAACCTCACATTGAAATGTAACCCCCAGAGTGGGAGGTTGGGCCTCTTGGGAGTTGTTTGGGTCATGGAGGTGGATCCATCATGAACAGATCAATGCTGTTCCAAGGAGACGGGGTTAGCAAGTTCCCCCTCTATTAGTTCCTGGAGAACTGGTTGTTAAAAGAGCTTGGAAGCTCCATCGCTCCCCCTCCCCCTTGGTCCCTCTCTTGCCGTGTGATCTCTGTGGTCTCTGCACAGACAGACCCTCCTTCCCTTCTGCCAGAGTGGGAGCAGCCTGAGGCCGTCACAAGAAATAGATGCTGGTGCCATGCTTCCAGTACAGCCTGCAGAACTGTGAGGCAAACACATTTCTTGTCTTTAGAAGTTACCCAGGCTCAAGTGTTCCTTTAGAGCAACAAAAATGGACTAAGACAGCAACGTCCTGAGATCAGGAGGAACATCCCAGAACAGCCTGGGCTGTCTTCCTGTTCTTCCTGGAGGAGGACGTCATGCAGTGCTTTAGCTGAGTGCTTCCTGTGGCTCCAGGGTACAAAACCCAGGCTGGGCTGCTTTTTGATTTCCCCCAGATACACTGCATATGGGGTGACTCCACATGTCTCGAGCAGCTTTTCTGAGCCTTGAGGGACTGGCTCACATTGAAATGTAGGTTTCTGTTGTCACTCGCTGCTTATCTGTTAGTAATGAACCTGCCTGTGTAATGTGTTCTCTGTGTGTTCTGTCTCCCTGGAGTGACGGTGAGTGATAGGAATTGGTATAGGCCCAGGTGCATTCCAGGAGGTGTTTAGAATCTTCTCTGGGAAGACTGGATTGGGATTGATACACAGCGAATGTGCTTTACAGTTTCTACCACCACAACCCTCTTGACTCAAAAAAATTACATTCTCCAAGAAAAGAAAGAAAAAATGAAATCAAGATAAAAAAAGTGAAGTAGAACTGACTTAAATCAAACAGCCATGAAATAATGATGTAGCCCAGGAACAACATGCTACTTTTTGTGATCTGCTGAGACATATATTAGGCTGCTATTCCACCCGAGAAGCACGGGGAAGGACCGCCCTCTCCGTCGTTTATTGTTTCAATACAGCCTGTCCTTCTGTGAGTTAGTACGAAATGTGACCAGGGGCTAGTGCTGGCACTGGTCTCTGAGTCCAAGATCTGAGCTCACTCCAAAGAGTATTAGTGTTTACCTCCCCATGATCTATCTGTATCTCCATAGGTGATTGGAAGTAGAGATGAATTGGGGGATTTGGGTGAAGGGGCAAGTTTTATGCCATGAACAGAGCACGTTCTCTATTCCAGGACCTGTGCTGGTGGGTTCAGGAGGCTTTCACATTTTCCATATGATCCCAAGCTCACAGAAAGCCAAATAAGGAAGAGGTTTAACCTGATTGTTTAATGGATAAGATAAAGGGTCAAAGAATTAAACACAGAGAAATAGAAAAATGATGGTTGGTATCCAGTTGCCTTTGTAATTTCTGTGTGTCATAATTATGTATGTTTTATTTTTATTTTTTGAGACAGAGTCCCCCTGTGTCAGGCTGGAGTGCAGTGATGCGATCTCAGTTCAACCTCTGCCTCCAGGGTTGAAGCCATTCTTCTGCTTCAGCCTCCCCAGTCGCTGGGATTACAGGCAGGTGCCAATGCACCAGGCTAATTTTTGTATTTTTAGTACAGACGGGGTTTCACCATGTTGGCCAGGCTGGTCTCAAACTCCTACCCTTAAGTGATCTACCCGCCTTGGCCTCCCAAAGTGTTGGGTTACAGGTGTGAGCCCCCATCCACAGTCTTGTATATTATATTATACTAGGTCCCTTCATTTGCACCACCCCTCATGTGTCTATCGCTCCTCTGCCAGGTATGGATTTAGATGTAGAAAAAAAACACATCTCAGAAAGAAATTAATGAAACAAGGATTAAACTACTAGGAAAAATCAAACCCAGCAAGCCCTCCCTGCAAATGATTCTACCTCACAAGCATAGCTTATATCCATCTTTCATTCATTTAGTGTGTAAATCAACCCTACGTTTCACCAGTGGGGCGGGAATTGCCTTTTCCACGGTCTCCTAGATTCCAGTTACGCACCTGGGCCTCCCTTATTTTCATGTCGGTCACTGTTAATCAGGTAGGGATTCCTAGTTAGCTCTGAGTTGAATCCAAGGGCTGTGAGTATCAAAAACATGCTCCTTGTTCCTCCTTAGTTTCCTGTGTACCCAGTGTGCTCTCCATCTCTCTACAGTTGTCTTGTCATTCTCCCCATCTCATTCCCAGCATTTGAGGCAGAGCCTCTTCCTTGAACTAAGAATGTTTCCACCTTTGTGCCTTCACGGCTGAGAGCTCAGTGTGGAAAATCCTTCCGCCAATCTTCCAAGGGTTGAATCCATTTTTTCCATTAAGGTCACAAATATTATCTGATCAGTGAGACCTTCTCTGTCACCTGAAATTATATACTCAGCATTATCTATTACTTATTTTAAATCCTGGCTGGGCGCAGTAGCTCTCGCCTGTAATCTTTGCACTTAGGGACGCTAAGGCGGTGGGATCACTTGAGATTGGGAGTTTGAGACAGCCTGCACAACATGGTGAAACCTCATTTCTACTAAAAAATATACCAAAAAAATTAGCCGAGTGTGGTGGCGCACAGCTGTAATCCCAGCTACTCGGTAGGCTGAGGCAGGAGAATTGCATGAACCCAGGAGGCAGAGGTTGCAATGAGCTGAGATTGTGCTACTGCACTCCAGCCTGTGGAACAGAGAGAGACTCTACTCAAAAAAAAAAAAGAAAACAAAAAAAACACACACACACAAAAAACCCCAGATTTGGTGCACAGATGCTTCCCAATGGATCATTCATTTATTGGTACCCTTGTGCATTCATTCTCTGCCCTCGCATTTACCCATCTGCAATATCAGCGTCCCAAGAGCAGAGGCCAAATGCATCCTGTTTACCATTTGTGGAAGGCAGGAGAATGCTGCCCCACCCCCAAAATGTCCCTGTCTTAGCCTCCATAGCTTGTGAATATGTTATTTTACAGGAAAGGAGGAATGAAGATTGCAGATGGCATTACGGTTGCTAATCAGCTGAACTTAAAAAGAGGGTACGCTGGATGATTTTAGGGAGATTGAGATGGATTATCTTGGTGACCCCAATAGAATCCCAAAGTCCTTAAAAGATGAGGAAGAAGGCAGAGCAGGATTCAGAGAAAAAGGTATGGGTAAAGAAGAAGAGTCTGAATGATGCCATGTGAGACGTGACCAGCCTTTGTGGGCTTTGAGGAAGGAGGAAGGAGGAAGGGGACCAGGGGCCCAGGAACGTGGGAGCCTCTAGGAGCTGGGAAACGTTAAGGAGCAGATTCTTGCTTGGAACCTTAAAAAGAAATCCAGCCTTACTCTCCCTTTGATATCAGCCCAGTGAAATGCAGTTCATACTTCTGAGTTACAGCACTGTGAGATAATTAAGAAAAACATGTTTTCATCCACGAAGCTTGTGGAAATTTGTTATGGCAACAATAGGAAAAGATTCCACACTGCACAGCCAGAGCATGGGGCATTGGCTGAACGAGTGAGTGAGTGGAAGTGTCGTGTGCATAAATAAGCTAAATTCTCTCTTACTGCACGTCTCTTGCTCTGCTGAGTCAACCAGGGTTGCATCTGGTACACTGCTGATACGAATGTAAATTAGTACAGCCATTACAGAGGAGAAGAGTATGGAAGTTCCTCAAAAAATAAAATGAGGTCGGGCACAGTGGTTCATGCCTGTAATCCCAGCACATTGGGAGGCCGAGGTGGGTAGGTCACTTGAGGTCAGGAGTTGAAGAGCAGCCTGGCCAATATAGCGAAACTCTGTCTCTACTAAAAATATAAAAATTAGCCGAGTGTGGTGGTGGGAGCCAGTAACCCAGCTACTTGGGAGGCTGAGGCTGGGGAATCTCTTGAATCCTGGAGGTGGAGGTTGCAGTGAGCCCAGATGGCACCACTGCACTCCAGCCTGGGCAACAAGAGTGAAACTGTCTAAAAAAAACAAAAACAAAAACAAAAACCATAAAACAAAATGTAAAAAGACACTTCCAGAGGATCTAGCAATTCCATGACTGGGTGTAAACCCAAAGGAAAGGACATCAGCGTATCGAAGTGACATCTGCACTCCCATGACTGTTCCAGCAGTGTTCACAGTAGCCAAGATGTGGATCAACCTACCCGCCCATCAGTGGGTGAATGGATGGAGAGAATGTGGTACACACACACAATAGGGACAACTCATCCATAGAAAGAGTAACATCCTGTCATTTACAGCCACATGAATGGAACTGGAGGTCATTACAAGTATTTCCATTTCTCACTCATATGCAGGAGCTAAAAGGTGGATCTCACAAAGGTAGAGAGTAGAATGGTGGCTACCAGAGGCCAGGAAGGGAAGGGTGGAGGGTAAAAAAAAAAGAATACTAATTAATTAATTAATTAATTTTGAGAGAGTGTCTCTCTCTGTTGCCCAGGCTGCAGTGCAGTGGCATGATCTCAGCTCACTGCAACCTCCGCCTCCTGCAATTAAGTGCAACTCCTGCCCAACCCTCCCAAGTAGCTGGGACTACAGGCATGTGCCACCATGCTCGGCTAATTATTATCATTATTATTATTATTTTGTATTTTTAGTACAGATGGATTTTCCCCATGTTGGCCAGGGTGGTCTTGAGCCCCTGATCTCAAATGATCCACCTGCCTTGGCCTCTCAAAGTGTTGGGATTACAACCGTGAGCCACCGTGCCCAGCCTATAAATGTATTTATGAACAGTAGACTTCACACTTAAAAATGGTAAAGGTGGTAAATTACATAGGTATATTTCACCTCAATAAATATTTCTTCAAACAAAAAGAAAAGGGTGTAGGCGTTGCTGGTGATGACATCTCTCTGTGGGTGACAGGCCAGGATGGGCTTCTGGGAAGTGGGTAAGGTTGAGGGGCTGAGAGAACCTCTGATCTCCCCAGGCAGAGCCCAGTCTCCCTCCTCTGGGTCTGTTCTGACCTCTTTCTCCATCTGCCTGGGTGCCTGGAACCCTGATCAAGGGCCTCCTTGCAGGCCATACAGGAGGGTTTGGAGGTGCCCTGTCTGCCATCCTGCGCCCTGACCCCGCCCTTACACCCATGCTGTGTGTTCTGTCTCGGCATCTGTCCATGCTTCTCTCCATCATCAGCAGGAAGCTCCTCAGCTATGGCTCTAGGATCACAAGACATGGGACAGGCATGGTGTTTTCTCACCTGTGACAGAAACGGGCAGTGGGTCACTCGGGTCTGACCACGCGTGGGGCAGGGCACGGAAAGAGCCGAAGCATCTGTAGGTCCCTCCGTGGGTCACAGGGCCCAGAGGGAAGTTGGCCTGGAATGTTCCATTGACCCTCAGCACCGCAGTGAGCCTAAGTTCACCGGCCTCTGCCTCCCTGGATAGATGGTAAATGTCAAACAAGCTCCGGGAGCTGCAGGACAAGGTCACATTCTCTCCTGCCTGAACCGTGGGGCCCGGCTGGGCTGAGAGAGAAGGTTTCCCATATAGACCTGGAAGAAGAAGAGGTGGTTTCCTCAGGGAGGTTCTTCCTTGTCACAGCTCTCCTCACACCTGAGCTGAGAACTCACTCCCCTGCTCTATGACTTAATGCTCTCTTTCTCTCTCTCACCCTCCACCCCCATCTCTCTTCATGTCTATTTCCTCCTTCCACCTTCTCTGTCTCTCTAGGTCTCTGACCTCACTTCTCCATCCCTAGCTATGTTTTCTTTTTTTGTACCATTTTATTCTCTCTGACCCTCCTTGGACTGGTTGACTTGATCTTCCTCTTTCTTTAATTCTGAGTCTCTCACTTTCTGTCTTGCTCATAACTTTCTGCATATTTCTATCTACTATCTATTGATCGATCTATCATTTATCTATGTATGTATCTATCATCTATCATCATCTGTGTATCTATGACCTATCTCTCTGTTATCTATCATCTATCAATCAATGTATGTATGTATGCATCTATCCATCTATCATCATGTGTTTATCTGTCTTTCTATCTCTCTATATCTATTTATATATCATCTGTCTGTCTTTCTACTTGTCTATCTATATCATCTATCAGTCATTCATCATCTATTTGTCTATCACCTGTCTCTCTATTATCTATCATATACCTTTTATCTTTCATCTATCTATATCTATCTATCCATCTATCATCTGTCTCTCTCCATCTCCTTGTCTTTCTCTGCCTCTCAGTCTCTCTAGTTCCCTTTTGGAGTCTCTGCAATCCATCCCCACATCTTTATCTTTCCCTGTCTTTGTGCCCCTCCCTCAGGGCTCTGATTTTAGGGCTTTTCTCTGCTTCCTTCCATCATACGCTCCACTTCTCTGCCCTCTTTTTCTGTCTCTTTATGTGTCTGTGAGTCTCTCAATTCCCTTCTTCTGGCTCATTCTGTGTGTGTGTTCATGTCTTTGCTTTTTGATTTCCCTGATTTCACTCCGTGTCTCTCTGTGGGCTTTTGTTCTCAGTAATCCTATAACATGTGGTGCTATTTGAATATGAGCCTCAGAATCCAGTATGGGGACTCCAGGAACTCACAACATACAGGGGTTGGTGTTCTGCTCCCTCACCTGGGGCCATGGTGTCCTGGGACGATGACAGCTCCACTGCACGGAAGGCAGAGGTTTAAGAATAAACACAGCATCTGTAGGTGCCACCAGCCTGGGGCCACACGGCCCAACTCAGGCCAGATAGATGTGTCTCTTTGGGTTCTCCTGGGAGAGAACACTTTGTAGAGGTAAAACAGAATGGAACCTTCTAACCTGTGCCTGGTCTCTGAACAAAGTCAGCATAGAAGGACACCTCTCTCTGGGATATATCTGTCTCTCTGTGTCTTCTTTACCTCTTTATCTCTTTTTCTAACACCTTGTATGGCCCCTGTGTCTGGCTTCTATGTTATGACATGAGGTCTGTACTTGTGTCTCCTGTTTCTCTGCCTTTGTTGGTACAGACCTCACCAAGTCACTTTCTCTCCATAGGAACCCCACACTCATCTTCCTCATGACCACCTGGGGCTTCCAGTCCTAGATCATTCACTCCATCTCCCAGCAAGGGTGAGAGGCAGGTCTGTATTCTCTCACCTACGACCACGATGTCCAGAGGGTCACTGGGAGCTGACAACTCATAGGGTAAGTGAGTGACAGAACCAAAGCATCTGTAGGTCCCTGCAAGGGCAGGTGTCATGGGACCCATGGAATAGTTGACCTGGGAACCCGCATCGTGGAGCTGTCCAACGAGGCGCAAGGGGTCCTCAGTGATCCCCTCTCTGTGCAGAAGGAAGCGCTCAAAACTGACATCTGACCAACATTGCAGGATGACCGTCTCTCCCGATTTCACCAGGGGACCTGGGTGGGCCAGGAGGGAAGGTTTTCTGTGGACTCCTAAGAAGAGAGGTTGTGAGTTCAGAAGGCGTCTCCCTTTCTCATCCCATTCATGGGACCTGAAATAAGTGAGGCTTCCCCTCCATGGTGTCTATCTCTCTCCTTCCTCTCTGTGTCTCCGTGTTCTTTTGTGCCCATAACCCCTGTTGCAGGTCCCTCCATCTGTCTCCCTCCCTCTTCCCTGTCTCTCTGTCTCTAGTAGCCCTGATTCCCTTCCCACTGTGCTCAGTGTCACCTCTTAGGCTGTTGTATCTGTTTCCCACTAATCTCTTTCCTGTGTTTATGTAGGGGTGGAAGAGGAACCACGACAGGCTGCATGTCCAGGCTCTTAGCAGCCTGAATCAATCTCTTTTGGACAGATTGGAAAGGCTGGCAGGAGGTACGAACTCATCAGTAAGGCAGGCATCAGTGTCCCTGTTCCTGATGGGGATTGGGAGCCTCTCCTGTCATGTCTGTGCCTTCTCCATGGCCCCAGCTTCCATAGGGTGGCCCCTGGTGCTGGTTCCAGGAGCATCAACCCCTCCCTATGTGGATCGAGCCTGGTGGTAGCATCAGTATCCCACCCATGCTAAAATCAGTGTAGCCAACCTTCTCCTTGTTTGGTTTCTTAACTTGTGCTTCACCTGGGTTCCTGTGTTGGTTTCCTGTTGCTGCTGGAGAAAATTGTCACAAACATGGGGCAGGAGAGAATACAATGACCCCTTCCACTTCTGGAGAACAGAAATCGGACCCAGTTCTCTCTGGGCTAAAATCAAGGCATCTACAGGGCTGTGTTTCCTCTGGAGACTCAGGGAAGAATCAGTTCCCTTGACTTCTCCAGCCCTTAGAGGCCAACTGCCTTTGTGGCTCATGGCCTTCCCCCATCTTCAAAGCCCGCTGTGGCTGATGGAGTCTCCCTCCCACGACGTTGCTCTAACCCCACTTTCCTCTTCCTCCTCCTCTCATGAGGACCCTTGTGATTACTCTGAGCACAGCAGGACAGTCCAGGCTGTCTCCCCATCGCAAGGTCAACTCATCAACAACCTGAGCTCCATCTTCCCCTTCAGTCCCCTGCCCTATGACATAAATAGTCACAGGGTTCATGGATTACCATGTAGCCATCACTGGGGACAATTATTCTTCCCACCACAGCAACTATTTCTCTGTACTGAATCCCCCTTTACCCCAAATACAGCCAGGGCCTGGATGATTGGACCCTGATGGACACCCCCACCAGAAGCTCTGGGATTCAGGAGGTGGGACAGTGAGAAGCCCAGACAGAAAGCCTCTGACCTGTGACCATGATCACCACAGGGTTGCTGGGTGCCGACCACCCAGTGGGGGAGTGTGGGTGTGAACTGCAACATCTGTAGGTCCCTGCATGTGCTGGGGTCACAGGGCCCATGAGAAAGCTGTTCCGGAATATTCTGTTGTAGAGCTCAGGGACAGGCATCCCGTCTTCTTTGGACAGACTGAATTCTTTAAACCCAAGACGAGAGCGACACTGAAGAGTCACATGTTGTCCTTCAGACACCACAGTGCCGGGCCAGGCAGAGAGGAAGGGCTTGTCCTGACCACCTGGGGGAGAAGGAGGCACTACCTTAGAGAGGAGGATGTGGAGCCGCCCCTCCCTCCCTGTGCTCAGAAGATTCTCCCATTTCCACGTTTCTAAGGCTCCTACCACACCTGGGTGCCCAGGGCTACAGGAAGGACCCATCCCGCATAGACATGGCGTCTCCCTACAGCAAGTGTCAGCTGAGAACTTTGAGCAGGTGCTGAAGAAGCGACTCTTACTAGATTTTAACACTGCAAAATTACTTACATAAAAGAACACAAGGTAGACACAGGATGGAGGGCATGATCAGCTAATGCATGAACCATAATAAACAACTGAGCCCCTATTAGAAGATCTGGAATGTCAGGGTCATGACTGTGGTTCCCCCACCTCTTAGGTAGAATGACAGCAGCCACATTGCAGCCCCTACCGTCATGGAAACGCTGGAGGGTGTGAGTTATGCTCTTGTCCTCAGAGGCCTGTTGTTCCTTGCACTGCTTCTCTCCCTTCCTCTGCCGGTGACACCACTTCCTCCCTGCACACCACTCCTTTGAGCACTTCAGTCTCCCCCTGGGTCCCCACAGACTCAGCCAAGGGAAAGAAAGGCCGGGGAGGGCTAGGACAGAACTGTGGCGAAGCTTCCCCTGGCTTCCTTTTCCTAGTTCATGAGAGATTCCCACATGGCTTCCCATGGTCAGCCCATCAGTCAACCCCCTGTGTCGCCTGCCTCCCGTTTCAGGAACATCATCTTATGTGGGGAGATGACAACCTAAGGTTTGGGGGAAGGACTCACCCACATGTGGCCAGGGCCCCTCCAGCAAGAAGAACCCTGGAAAGAAAGATCATGATGGATGATCCATCTGTACATCACCTCCAGGCCCATATCTCCACTCCAGGCCCATATCTCCACCTCCGTCCTATATCTCTACTCCAGGCCCATATCTCCACTCCAGGCCTATATCTCCACCTCTGTCCTATATCTCTACTCCAGGCCCATATCTACACTCCAGGCCCATATCTCCACCTCCAGGCCTGTATCTCCACCTCCAGGCCCGTGTCTCCATTCCAGGCCCATATCTGCACTCCAAGCCAACATCTCCACTCCAGGCCCATATCTCTACTCCAGGCCCATATCTACAGTTCCAGGCCCATATCTCCACCTCCAGGCCCATATCTCCACTCTAGGCCCATATCTCCACCTCCAGGCCCGTATCTCAATTCCAGGTCCATATCTGCACTCCAAGCCAATATCTCCACTCCAGGCCCATATCTACAGTTCCAGGCCCATATCTCTACTCCAGGCCCATATCTCTACTTCAGGCCCATATCTACAGTTCCAGGCCCATATCTCCACTCCAGGCCCATATCTCCACCCCAGGCCCATATCTCCACTCCAGGCCTATATCTCCACTCCAGGCCCATATCTCCACTCCAGGCCCATATCTCCACTCCAGGCCCAGATCTCCACCCCACCGCTCCCTCCCTCGATTCCCTTCCAGGACTCACCAACACACGCCATGCTGACGACCATGAGCGACATGGTGCTGCCGGTGCAGACAGGCGGCTGCGCCCCAGCTCAGTTCAGCAGCACACAGGATGTTGTGAGGGGCTCATGCAGTTTACATGCTGACCACATCATGGGAGGATGACGTATGCAGGCTATTTCTACCTTGCATGAGGCCCAGTGGCTGTTTGGTCAAGAGCAGAACATGGCTTCCTGGAAATTGTTCCAACTAGAATTGACACCTTGCATCCTTCACTATAACCAACTCAAAACACGTCTCAGATCCAATCTCTCATACAGGAGATGACTGAATGCTTGGCTTACATTAAAGACTTTTGATGTATTTTTGTTGTTTTTATCTGAGATTCAAACTCTTCTTCATGTGCTATTTTCCCCAGGCTGTTCTTTGACTTCAGAGTTCAAGCAATCCTCCTGCCCCAGCATTTCTAGCAGCTGGCAGTATGTCACAATCTGCCACACCCAAGTCACAACTTTTAGAACTTTTTTTTTTTTTGAGACGCAATCTCACTTCGTCACCCAGTTTGGAATGCAGTGGTGAGACCTCGGCTCATTGCAGCCTCCACCTCCCAGGTTCACGCAATTCTCGTGCCTCAGCCTCCTAAGTAGCTGGATTTACAGGCACCCACCACCACGCCCACCTAATTTTTGTACTTTTAGTAGAGAGGAGGTTTCTCCATGTTGGCCAGGCTGGTCTTGAACTCCTAACCTCAAGTGATCTGTCTACTTCAGCCTCCCAAAGTGCTGAGATTACAGGTGTGAGCCACCATGCCTGGCCGGGACATTCTATATGTGTGCGTATGTGTGCATTTATATACATATGGTTATACACACACACACACACACACACACACACCCTAAGCACTCACATATATAGTTGTTTCAAATTTTAAAAAATATAAATTTTGTATTTTTCTTTCTTTTTCTCACATTTGTGTTTCTATGACACCATATACATATTGAATTTTATAGCTCTATTTTATTCTTTTGGATTGCAGTTTAATAGTCCATGCATAACTTTATCAACATGTAATTATCCATTCTTTTTATCATGGACATTTGTGTTGTTTCCGGATTTTCTCTTTTATAACTCGGGCCTTGATAATCGTGTTTCTGTGTGATCCCTTGCATACATATGCTGAATTAATTAGACATATTTACCTAGAAATGAAATTATTGGTTTTGGGTGCAAGTTGGTGTTGAGCTTAACCAGGAAGTGCCAAAATATTTCCATCATGACCAAATGTGGCCTGGAAAGTTTTTTGGGGTCAATTTTCCTGTTTCTTCTAAGGAACAAAATTGATGTCACTGATTTTTCTGTCCTGTTTGTCATTTATGAATGTATGTACATATGCACGTATATATTTGCTTGCCATTTTATGTTTTTCCTCGACGTTACTTTGGAATTAATTTGCTGATGTGTAGTATTTCTGCAAGTGAAAGTTACCTATTTACTCAGCTCTTCCTTCTTTTCTAACACAGACATTTGAGGCTTATTGTCCCTTAACGCTGTACTATCTGTATCCCCAGTCATTTGCCGAGATGTGTTTTCATTTTTAATTGATACAAAATATTTTCCACCTTTCTTTGAAATGTTTTTCTTCCACTCATTGTTTATTGCTATGTGTGTTTATTAATTTTAAAATATTTGATAATTTCCCCAGCATTTCCTTGTTGTACATTTATAATTTAATTCAACTGTTTCATCTATCATATTACCTATGATTCAGCATTTAAAAATTTATTTTGGTGAATGTTCC
>NW_003571058.2:819632-855326 GCF_000001405.40 Homo sapiens | reverse complement strand
AGATTATTTCATCACCTAGGTAATAAGCTTGGTACCTAATAGTTACTTTGCCTGCTCCTTTCCCGCCTCCCACCCTCCACCCTAAAGGAGACCCCATTGTCTGTTTTTCCCTTTTTTGTGTTCATGAGTTCTATTATTTAGCTTCCACTTATAAGTGAGAACCTGCTGTATTTGGTGTTCTGTTCTTGTATAGTTTGCTAAGGATAATGGCCTCCAGCTCCATCCATGTTTCCACAAAACATATGAACTCATTCTTTTTTTATGGCTTCAAATTAATTTTATTTTTATCTTATTATTTATGTTATTTTGATTGTAGACTCCTGGCTATCACGAATTCTTCAGGTATGGAGAGTGAAATATTCCTAATTAAACCTTCTACTATTTTATTTTATTTTATTTATTCTTTTTTTTTTTTTGAGACGGAGTCTTGCTCTGTCGCCCAGGCTGGAGTGCAGTGGCGTGATCTCAGCTCACTGCAAGCTCCACTTCCCGGGTTCATGCTATTCTCCTGCCTCAGCCTCCCGAGTAGCTGGGACTACAGGCATCCGCCACCACGCCCGGCTAATTTTTTTTGTATTTTCAGTAGAAACGGGGTTTCACCGTGTTAGCCAGGATGGTCTCGATCTCCTGACCTCGTGATCCACCCACTTCGGTCCCCCAAAGTGCTGGGATTACAGGCGTGAGCCACCGCGCCCCACTTTATTTTCATTTTAATACATCATAACTTAGCCCTTCCAACGCCGAAGTATTTTGAAGTCCTGAGCTTGTCCCATATTTCAGAAAGCCGATCAGCTTCCATGTTGACTGTTTCATTTGTGCAAATTTAAGTGACCTTTTGTTTTGCCACATTTTGTTAATTTCCACATACATATTTACGTTCGGGAAATTTGGAAATACTACGTTCTGGAAATTTGGTGTTGATGATTGCATGAAATTGACCGCATTCTAATTTTCTTTTTTTGTTGTTTTGTTACTTATGCCTTATTTATTCATTCCTTTGTTCTCACTTGAATGGGACTTTGGGTGAAAGACAAATAATGGCTGTACTCTTAGTTGAGTATTTAAAATGCAGAGATTGTAAAGGCAGGATGACCTAATTAAAAATACTATTGTTGGCTGGGTGCAGTAGCTCATGCCTGTAATCCCAGCACTTTGGGAGGCCAAGGCAGGTGAATCACTTGAGTTCAGGAATTTAAGACCAGCCTGGTCAATGTGGTGAAACCCAGTCTCTACTAAAAATATAAAAAATTACTTGGGTGTGGTGGCGGGTGCCTGTAATTCCAGCTACTCGGAAGGCTGAGGCAGGAGAGCCACTTGAACCCAGGAGGCAGAGGTTGCAGTGAGCCAAGATCACTGCACTCCAGCCTGGGCAACACAGAGCGAGACTGTGTCTCAAAAAAACAAAAGCTATTGTTATGGTTTACAAATGACGTGGCTTTCTATTGGGAGAGAGATACTTACTAATTGTTGAATTTCAGGAACTTCAGTGGCCAATATTTACTAATGGGCTGGAACAGATTTTGTCAACTTACCACAACATTTGGTGTGGTTTTGTTCTTTTGTTTCCTCCTTTTGTGGAACAGGAATGGTAACGTAGCCATGGGGTGCTGAGATATTTGGTTAAACATTATTCTGTGTGTGTCTGTGGGGGTGTTGCTGAATGAGATTATCAATGGAATTAGTGTAATTTATAAAGCAGATTGCTCTCCCTAATGTGAGTCGGCCTCATTCAATCAGGTGGGACCTGAATAGAACAAAACATTGAACTGGTAATGTAAGATGAAGTTCCTTTTGCCTGGACATCAGTCTTTTCTGGCTCTTGAACTCTCACTAAAACATTGACTCTTTAGATGTTAAGCCTGCCAGCTTTTTTTGTTTGTTTGTTTTTTTGAGATAGAGTCTCACTCTGTCACCCAGGCTGGAGTGCTGTGGCATGATCTCGGCTCACTGCAACCTTCACCTCTTGGGTTCAAGCAATTCTCGTACCTCAGCCTCTGAGTAGCTGGGATTACAAGCGAATGCCACTATGCCCGGCTAATTTTTGTATTTTTAGTAAAGATGGGGTTTCACCATGTTGGCCGGGCTGGTCTTGAACTCTGACCTCAGGTGATCTGCCTGCCTTGGTCTCCCAAAGTGTTGGGATTACAGGCGTGAGCCATCATGCCCGGCATGAGCCTGCTAGCTTTTGGACTGTTACGTATACCACTAACTCTACTGGTTCTCAGACTTTTGCACGTAGACTGGAACTACACGTGGACTCCCCTGGGTCTCCAGCTTGCAGATGGCAGATCATGGGACCTGTCAGTCTACATAGTTGCATAAGCCAATATATAAATACCCTATCTGTGTATCAATCATTATATATCTGTCATTATCCAACTATATGTCTATCATTATTTGTGATATCATTATATATCTATCATTATTTGTCTATCAATCATTATCTATATATCTATCATTATTAGTGTTGATTATTTTTTTTTCTGGAGAACCCTGACTACTATAGCTTCCATGTTCCTGTCTCAACTGTCACCAGTCCCCTTAGCACAGGGCCTATCATAGCCATTCTACGGCCCAAGGAATTACAAGCCACATAACTACAGGAGTCACAGTGACCCAAGGATTTAGACGGAGACACGGAAGAATTGAGGCATCTATTGGTCTCTGCATATTTTGGGATTTGGGATTTCCCAGCAGGGAAATTTGCCTTGAATCTGTCTAACTGGTCACTAAGAGTTGATTGGTAGGTTCCATTCTCCGTGCACAGCATAAACCCTAATAAGCCCAAACTGACTGGCAGTGGAGACTCTCAACCCTCAATGGGACCAAACTGTGACTGGCAGTGGAGACTCTCAACCCTCAATGGGACCAAACTGTGACTGGCAGTGGGGACCTTCAACCCTCAGTGGGACCGAACTGTGACTGGCAGTGGGGACCTTCAACTCTCAGTGGGACTTTACAGCACTCAGCTGCACCTGTGTGGAGAATTTGTCTCAAACACCTAAGAAGGAAGGAGGCCTTTGTTTCGAGGAAGAAGAAGGGGAGCTGCTTCTCTATCCACTGACCTCAGAGGTACCGGAGAGTGTCCAGTGAGGGCCTTAACTCTCTGCAGTATTTTTTTTTTTTTGAGATGGAGTCTCACCCTGTCGCCCAGGCTGGAGTGCAATGGCAGGATCTCGGCTCACTGCAACCTCTGCCTCCCCAGTTCAAACGATTCTCCTGTCTCAGCCTCCTGAGTATCTCAGATTTACAGGCACCTGCCACCATGCCCAGCTATTTTTTGTATTTTTAGTAGAGACAGAGTTTCACCATGTTGGCCAGGCTGATCTTGAACTCCTGACCTCGTGATCTGCCCACCTCCGCCTCCCAAAGTGCTGGGATTATAGGCGTGAGCCACTGCACCCAGCCACTCTCTGCAGTTTTAAAGGCCATTTCCATGAATTAGAGTATACTTAGGCACTGAGGTAAGCATGGCACAGCTTTCTGAAAATAAAGTTGAAACTTAGAGGTTTCTTTTAGCTTTATTGAGATATGATTGACAAATGGAAATTGTATATATTTAAGGTGTATTACACTTGATGTTTTGATGTATGTATACATGGTGACATGATCATCATAGTCAAGCTAGTTATATCCATCATCTCGCAGGGTTATTGTTTTTTTTTTTTTTTTTTTTTGAGAGGAAGTCTTACTCTGTCCCCCAGGCTAGAGTGCAGTGGTGCCATCTTGGCTCACTGCAACCTCCGCTCCCAGGTTCCAGCAATTCTCGTGCCTCAGCCTCCTGAGTAGCTGGGATTACAGGCTTGTGTCACCACGCCTGGCTAATGTTTGCATTTTTAGTAGAGACAGGGTTTCACCATGTTGGCCATGCTGGTCTTGAACTCCTGACCTCAAGTGATCTGCCCGTCTTGGCCTCCCAAAGTGCTGGGATTACAGGCGTGAGCCACCGCGCCCGGCCTATGGTTTCTTTTTCTTTCTTTCTTTTTTTTTTTTTTGTGGTGAGGACCCTTAAGATCTACTCTCCCAGCCGGGCGTGGTGGCTCATGCCTGTAATCCCAGTACTTTGGGAGGCCGAGGCAGGCGGATCACGAGGTCAGGAGATCGAGACCATCCTGGCTAACACAGTGAAACCCCGTCTCTACTAAAAATACAAAAAATTAGCAGGGCGTGGTGGCGGGCGCCTGTAGTCCCAGCTACTCGGGAGGCTGAGGCAGGAGAATGGCGTGAACCCAGGAGGCGGAGCTTGCGGTGAGCCGAGATCGCGCCACTGCACTCCAGCCTGGGTGACAGAGCAAGACTCCAGCTCAAAAAAAAAAAAAAAAAAAAAAAATCTACTCTCCCATGCTTGCCTCGGCAGCACATATACTAAAATTGGAACGATACAGAGAAAACTAGCATGGCCCCTGCGCAAGAATGACACGCAAATTCGTGAAGTGTTCCATATTTAAAAAAAAAAATCTACTTTCCTGGTAAATTTCAAGTATAGAGTACAGTATTGTCAACCATAGTGGCAAAGCTGTACAAGAGATCTTCAGACCCATTCCTCCTGAATACCTGATAGTTTGTATCCTTTGATCAACATCTCCCAATTCCCTCCCCCACACTGTCCCTGTAGTTCTAGTGAGTTTCCCAGACTCTGATGTCTCAATTTCATTCAGTCACTTTCCTCCAGATACATCTACCCATTCCTACTGCATCTTAGTATCCTGAGCCTTGGGGGCAGTTTCTGTGCCAAGTGGAAATGTGGAAATGAGATATTACGAAGAAAAATCTTTGCCCACCTAGACAGGGATCTGATGTTTTCCAAGATGACACATGATTACATGTTGAAATGATAATATTTTGAGTCTACTTGTATAATAAAATAATATTTTGGATCTATTAGGTTAATATTTTGGGTCTGTTGGGTTAATAATATTTTGGGTCCATTGGGTTAACTTAAATTAATTTTATCTGTTTCTTGTTAGCTTTTTAATTTGGATACTAGCAAGTTTGAAAGAATGCATGTGGTTTGCATTATGTTTCTATAGGACAGAACTTACCTGTAGATGTAAGGGAGTCACAACAAAATTACAAGCATTGTTTTTGGTGGAAATGAGAAAAATGATTACAAATTTACATGGAAAAGCAAATAGCCAATAATAATAATAATGGCAATCTTAAAGAGGAAGGAGAAATTAGAGGATTCAGGCTGCCAAATTTTAAGGGGTTCTATAAGGCCACATAAAGTGCAGCATCCTCATGAGAGTGGACACAGAGAGCCACTGAGCAGAAAAGAGTGTGTAAAATACATCTGTGTACACACAGTCCTTTTATAGTTGACAGAGGCTGCCATGCGGATTAAGGTGGAATAGAATGTCTTCTCAGTAAATAACATTGGACCAGAGGGTTACAAGCAGGAAAAAATAAATCTAAGCTTATTTTCACACCATAAAAACACTGCTAATTTTTTATCTTATTATCATACATTTTGATGATTTATTTATAAAATTGATGAATGAAAATTATATACAGTTGTCCTTCACTATTCATGGGTGATTGGTTCCAGGAAACCCCCCTCCCTACCAGACACCAAAATCTGCAGATGCTCAAGCCTGTTGCATGAAATGGCACAGCGTTTGCATATAACCCATGCACATCCTCCTGTATACATGAAATCATCTCTAGATTACTTATAATTCCTGATACAGCCTACACACCACCTCACTTGTGTCCACACAATATAGTATTTTTGCTTTTTGGAACTTTGTGGATTTTTTCTCTGAATATTTTTGATTTATATTTGGTTCAATAAACACCTGTAAACCCCACAGATATGGAGGAGCGACTGTATATTTATAGTATGAAAGATGATGTGTTGACATGTGTCCCTGTGGAGATGAGACTAACAAGGCCTATGACTCTACAAATGTTTCATCTTGGAATGACTCTGCCAGCTTTCCAGGTCTGCAGAGAGTAAGAATATCACTTGTTCATGTGATTCACGATCCTTGGAACCTCCTATGTGCTGCATCTTTGGATGGAAATTGGAGTCCCAGAGACAAATGAGGCTCCACCCTGCTTCCAGAAGCTCAGAGTCCAGGGCTGAGAACCCAGTAGAGAACATATCAGGTTATATGGACATAGTAATGATAACACTGGAAACTTTTGGCGAATAAAGAGTCACATTATCGAAACCATGAGGGCAGACATGTTTATTTGAAGAGGAGAGAGCTACACTGAAGTTATAAAAAAAATTTATAAATTTTACTGATGACAGAAGGCTGAAAGATAGTCTGAGGGGAGGTGGAACAGCATGAGGGAAGGTGGAACAGCAAGTGTGTAAGTGCCGTGTTAAGAGGGAGCCTCTTGTATGTTTGGAATTGTGAGTTCCTCAGTGTGATTGCAGCCTCAAGTAGGACTAGGAAGTAAGCCAGTTAGGTTGGAGAGGTGGGCAGGGGTCAAGTGAAATAGATACTTGTGGGCTAAGCAAAGGAGTGTGTTTTCTCTGCAGCAGGCAGTGGCGACCTTAGGCATTTGTAAGCAAGAGAGAGGCATGTTCAGATTCGTGGTGTGAGGAAGAGCGATCCCCTAAGATGCAGACTGATGCCTTCAGATTCCAGCTGCTGGTTCATTGGATCTGGCAACCTGGTTTTGAGACAGGGCTGTTGTCTCCCTAGAAAACCCCCTCAAGACCTGACTGTGGTGCTCGTGGGCAGGAGACAACTTTGGATCTGGGCTCAGCATTTGGAAGTTCCGTGTACACGCTGGTATCTGTTAGGGGTGTCTTGGGCCTCTGAGAAGGGCGACTGATTTTTCTCTGTATGAAAACGCAGTGATCCAACTGTGCGTACGTCACCTCCTGAGGGTCTTGTTCATCAGAGTCCTGGAGAGAGGGAAATGCTGAGTGAGGGAGGGTGCTCACATTTTTCAGGACTATTAGGGATAAGACTGTATCCGTGAGGCTGGGCCGAGGAGGACCTACCTGCCTATTCACTGTTCTGTCCCCCGCAGGCTCTTGGTCCATTACAGCAGCATCTGTAGGAGACGGAAGTCATCAAAACCGCTTGGAGGGCCCTTCTGGGTCCTCATTTCATGGGCAGACACCAACCCACAGGGGGAGGCTGTAGGTGCCTGAGGCTCTTCAGCTGCCAACATCCAGACTCAGACATTCTATCTCTCTGAGTTCAAGACCCCATCCCATGAAGTGCTCTCAATTGGCATCCCATTGATTCTGTCTCCCACTTTCTGCCTGTCATGGAAGCTTCTGGATGTCAGTGGCTGCAGGGGATGTGAGGATACAGTTCAGAACCAGGCAATGGTCTGTGAGCTGAAGGCAGGGGCAGGTTGTCTGGTGCTCTCTCTAGAAAGCCCTGCCTCTGTGGCTCCTCCCTTGGGCCAGGGACCATCCTGCCAGTGAGGAACACACACCCGCGTGCTCCCATCCTGCTTCCCCACATGGCCCTGAGCTCTCTGGCCTCTGCTTCGTGAGACTTACTCTTTTTGTTGGAGCACCAGCGATAAAGGAGAAAGAAGAGGAGGAGGATGAAGAGGAAGATGACCACTGAGGTCCCAATCAGAACATGCAGGTGTCTGCAGATACCTGGAGGAAGATGGGAATCCAATAAGAAGCTAATCATAGCAGTTCCTCTTTATGGATTGTCTCATTTCTTGATTGACAGGTAACCACATGGAACATCTCCTTAGGACAAGCAGCCTGATGGCGGGAGACCCAGCTTTCTCCTGCTTTCTCAGTTACAGCTCTCATAGAAACCATAGAACATGCTGAGGATACAGCTGCTTTAGTTTAGATGTTTGACCCTTTGAAACCTCACACTGAAATATTGAAATTTAACCCCCAGTGTGGAAGTTTGGGCCTATGGGAAGGTGTTTGAGTCATGGAGGTGGATCCATCATGAATAGATTAATGCTGCCCCACATGATGGGGTTAGCAAGTTCCCCCTCTATTAGTTCCCGGAGGGCTGGTTGTTAAAAAGAGCTTGGAAGCTCCATCGCTCGCCCTCCCCCTTGCTCCCTCTCTTGCCATGTGATCTCTGTGGTCTCTGCACAGACAGACCCTCCTTCCCTTCTGCCAGAGTGGGAGCAGCCTGAGGCCGTCACAGGAAACAGATGCTGGTGCCATGCTTCCAGTACAGCCTGCAGAACTGTGAGGCAAACAAATCTGTTTTCTCTAGAAGTTGCCCAGGCTCTGGGATGCAAGGCTGGTTCAATATATGCAAATCAATAAATGTAATCCATCATATAAACAGAACCAAAGACAAAAACCGGACGACTATCTCAATAGATGCAGAAAAGGCCTTTGACAAAATTCAACAACGCTTCATGCTAAAAACTCTCAATAAATTAGGCATTGATGGGACGTATCTCAAAATAATAAGAGCCATCTATAACAAACCCACAGCCAGTATCATACTGAATGGGCAAAAACTGGAAGCATTCCCTTTGAAAACTGGCACAAGACAGGGATGCCCTCTTTCACCACTCCTATTCAACATAGTGTTGGAAGTTCTGGCCAGGGCAATTAGGCAGGAGAAGGAAATAAAGGGTATTCAATTAGGAAAAGAGGAAGTCAAATTGTCCCTGTTTGCAGATGACATGATTGTATATATAGAAAACCCCATTGTCTCAGCCCAAAATCTCCTTAAGCTGATAAGCAGCTTCTACAAAGTCTCAGGATACAGAATCAATGTACAAAAATCACAAGCATTCTTATACACCAATAACAGACAAACAGAGAGCCAAATCATGAGTGAACTCCCATTCACAATTGCTTCAAAGAGAATAAAATACCTAGGAATCCAACTTACAAGGGATATGAAGGACCTCTTCAAGGAGAACTACAAACCACTGCTCAATGAAATAAAAGAGGATACAAACAAATGGAAGAACATTCCATGCTCATGGGTAGGAAGAATCAAGATCGTGAAAATGGCCATACTGCCCAAGGTAATTTATAGATTCAATGCCATCCCCATCAAGCTACCAATGACTTTCTTCACAGAATTGGAAAAAACTACCTTAAAGTTCATATGGAATCAAAAAAGAGCCTGCATTGCCAAGTCAATCCTAAGCCAAAAGAACAAAGCTGGAGGCATCATGCTGCCTGACTTCAAACTATACTACAAGGCTACAGTAACCAAAACAGCATGGTACTGGTACCAAAACAGAGATATAGATCAATGGAACAGAATAGAGCCCTCAGAAATAATGCCACATATCTACAACTATGTGATCTTTGACAAACCTGAGAAAAACAAGCAATGGGGAAAGGATTCCCTATTTAATAAATGGTGCTGGGAAAACTGGCTAGCCATAGGTAGAAAGCTGAAACTGGATCCCTTCCTTACACCTTATACAAAAATTAATTTGAGATGGATTAAAGACTTAAACGTTAGACCTAAAACCATAAAAACCCTAGAAGAAAACCTAGGCATTACCATTCAGGACATAGGCATGGACAAGGACTTCATGTCTAAAACACCAAAAGCAACGGCAACAAAAGCCAAAATTGACAAACGGGATCTAATTAAACTAAAGAGCTTCTGCACAGCAAAAGAAACTACCATCAGAGTGAACAGACAACCTACAAAATGGGAGAAAATTTTCGCAACCTACTCATCTGACAAAGGGCTAATATCCAGAATCTACAATGAACTCAAACAAATTTACAAGAAAAAAACAAACAATCCTATCAAAAAGTGGGCAAAGGACATGAACAGACACTTCTCAAAAGAAGACATTTATGCAGCCAAAAAACACATGAAAAAATGCTCACCATGACTGGCCATCAGAGAAATGCAAATCAAAACCACAATGAGATACCATCTCACACCAGTTAGAATGGCGATCATTAAAAAGTCGGGAAACAACAGGTGCTGGAGAGGATGTGGAGAAATAGGAACACTTTTACACTGTTGGTGGGACTGTAAACTAGTTCAACCATTGTGGAAGTCAGTGTGGCGATTCCTCAGGGATCTAGAGCTTGAAATACCATTTGACCCAGCCATCCCATTACTGGGTATAAACCCAAAGGACTATAAATCATGCTGCTATAAAGACACATGGACACGTATGTTTATTGTGGCACTATTCACAATAGCAAAGACTTGGAACCAACCCAAATGTCCAACAATGATAGACTGGATGAAGAAAATGTGGCACATATACACCATGGAATACTATGCAGCCATAAAAAATGATGAGTTCATGTCCTTTGCAGGGACATGGATGAAATTGGAAATCATCATTCTCAGTAAACTATCACAAGGACAAAAATCCAAACACCGCATGTTCTCACTTATAGGTGGGAATTGAACAATGAGAACACATGGACACAGGAAGGGGAACATCACACTCTGGGGACTGTTGTGGGGTGGGGGGAGGGGGGAGGGATAGCATTAGGAGATATACCTAATGCTAAATGACGAGTTGATGGGTGCAGCACACCAGCATGGCACATGTATACATATGTAACTAACCTGCACATTGTGCACATGTACCCTAAAACTTAAAGTATAATAATAATAAAAATTTTAAAAAAAAGCTCATCAGAAGCACTATACAAAAAAAAAAAAAAAAAAAAAAAGAAGTAACCCAGGCTCAAGTGTTCTTTTATAGCAACAAAAATGGACTAAGACAGCAACGTCCTGAGATCAGGAGGAACGTCTCAGAACAGCCTGTGCTGTCTTCCTGTTCTTCCTGGAGGAGGACGTCATGCAGTGCTTTAGCTGAGTGCTTCCTGTGGCTTCAGGGTACAAAACCCAGGCTGGGCTATTTTCTGGCTTCCCCCAGATACACTGCAAATGAGGTGACTCCATATGTCCCGAGCAGCTTTTCTGAGCCTTGAGGGACTGGCTCACGTTGAAATGTAGGCTTCTGTTGTCACTCGCTGCTTATCTGTTAGTAATGAACCTGCCTATGTAACGTATTCTCTGTGTGTTCTGTCTCCCTGGAGTGACGGTGAGTGATAGAAATTGGCATAGGCCCAGGTGCAGTACAGCAGGTGTTTAGAGTCTTCTCTGGAAAGACTGGACTGGGATTGATACACAGTGAATGTGCTTTACAGTTTCTACATCCACAACCCTCTTGACTCAAATTACATTCTCCAAGAAAAGGACACAAAAGTGAAATCAAGATCAAAAAAGCAAAGTAGAATTCTCTTATGTCAAACAGCCAGGAAATAATGATGAAGCCCATGTGAAACGTGCTACTCTTTGTGATCTCGCGAGACACATGTTAGGCTGCTGTTCCACCTGAGAGGCTGGGGGAAAGACCACCCCCTCCACCATCTATTGCTTCAAAACCACCTGTCCTCCTGTGAATTAGTAGGAAAGGGGAGCAGGAGCTAGTGCTGGTGCTGATCTCTGATTCCAAGATCTGAACTCACTCCAAGGAGTATTAGCGTTTACCTCCCCATGATCTATCTGTATCTCCACAGGTGATTGGAAGTAGGGGTGAGGTGGGGGATTTGGGTGAGGGGGAAAGTTTCTTGTGATGAACAGAGCACTTTCCCTATTTCAGGGCCTGTGCTGGTGGGTTCAGGGGGCTTTCATATTTTCCATATGATCTCATGTTCACAGAAAGCCAAATATGGAAGAGGTTTTAGGCTGATTTTCTAATGGATAAGATAAAGGATCAAAGAAGTAATTATAGAGGAATAGAAAAATGATGATTGGAATTCAGGTGCCTGCATCATTTGTGTATATTATTATATTTATGTATTTTTTATTTTTATTTTTTGAGACAGAGTATCCCTGTGTAGCCCAGGCTGGTGTGCAGTGATGCGATCTCCACTCACTGCAACCTCTGCCTCCAGGGCTGAAGTCATTCTCCTGCTTCCTCCTCCAGAGTAGCTGGGATTACAGTCATGCACCACCATCATGCCTGTTTAATTTTTGTATTTTTAGTAGAGATAGGGTTTCTCCATGTTGGCCAGGCTGGTCTCGAACTCCTGACTTCATGTGATCCACCCGCGTTGGCCTCCTGAAGTGCTGGGTTATAGGCGTGAGCCACCGTTCACAGCCTTGTATATTATGCTATACTAGGTCCCTTCATTTGCACCACCCCTCATCTAGCTCTCCCTCCTCTGCCAGGTATTGATTTAGATGCAGGAGAAATAAATCTCAGAAATAAGTTAGTGAAGCGAGGATTAAACTACCAGGAAAAATTAAACCCAGCAAGCCTTTCCAGCCAATGATTCTACCTCACAAACATATCTTATATCCATCTACTTCATTCATTTAGTGTCTAAATCAGCACCACATTTCACCAGTGGGGCGGCAATTGCCTTTTCCACGGTCTCCTAGATTCCAGTTATGCAACTGAGCCTCCCTTATTTTCATGTCAGTCATATTAATCATGTAGGGATTCCTGGTTACCTCGAGGTGAATCCAATGGCTGTGAGTGTCAAACACACGCTCCTTGTTGCTCCTTAGTTTCCTGTGTACCCAGTGTGCTCTCCGTCTCTCTACAGTCATCTTGTCATTCTCCCCACCTCATTCCCAGCATTTCAGGCAGAGCCTCTTCCTTCCACATCAGATTGTTTTCACCTTTGTGCCTTCACGGCTGACAGCTGTGTGTGCAAAATCCTTCCGCCAATCTTTCAGGGGTTCAATCCGTGTTTTTCATTAATGTCACAAATATCTGATTAGTGAGAACTTCTCTGTCACCTGAAATAATACTCTCAGCATTATCTATTATTGATTTGAAAATTTGGCTTGGCCCCGTGGCTCATGCCTCTTATCCCAGCGTGTTGGGAGGCAGAGGCTATTGGATCACCTGAGGTTGGGAATTTGAGACCAGCCTGGCCAACATGGTGAAACATCCTCTCTACAGAAAATATGCAAAAAGAGTTAGCCGGGCGTGGTGGTTGTGGTCTGTAATCCCAGCTACTGGAGAGGCTGAGGGAGGAGATCAGTTCAGCCCAGGAGGTGGAGGTTGCAGTGAGCCGAGATCATGCCACCGCACTCTAGCCTGGACGACAGAGCAAGGCTCCGTCTCAATAAACAAGTAGGTAAATACATAAATAAATAGATTTCATGCACAGATGCTTCTCAATAGATCATTCATTTATTGGTCCCCTTGTGCCTACATTTTCTGCCCTCCCATTTAACCATCTGCAAGATCAGTGTCCCAAGAACAGAGGCCAAATGCATCTTGTTCACTGTTTGTGGAAGGCAGGAGAATGTTGTCCCACCCCAAAAATGTCCATGTCCTAGCCTCCATAGCTTGTGAATATGTTATTTTACATGAAAGGAGGAATGAAGATTGCAGATGGAATTATGGTTGCTAGTCAGCTGAACTTAAAAGGAGGGTATCCTGGATGATTTCCGGGAGATTATGATGGATTTTCATCTTGGTGAACCCAATAGAATCCCCAAGTTTTCAAAAGAAGGGCAAGAAGGGAGAGCAGCATTCAGAGAAAGAGGTGTGGTAAGGAAGAAGGGTCTGAGTGATGCCATGTGAGATGTGACCAGTCTTTGTGGGCTTTGAGGAAGGAGGAAGGGTACCAGGAGCCAAGGAACATGGGAGCCTCTAGAAGCTGAGAAAAGTGAGAAGCAGATTCTTGCCTGGAACCCTCAGAGGGAAGGCAGCCTTGCTGTCACCTTGATTTTAGCCCAGTGACATGCACGTCATGCTTTGAGCTACAGCACTGTAAGATAATTAAATAACCGTTTTGTTTTCACACACGAATCTTGTGGAAATTTGTTATGGCAACAATAGGAAAAGCTTCCACACTGCACAGCCTGAGCATGGGGCTGTGGCTGAATGAGTCACTGAGTCGAAGTGTGCGTGCATGAGCTCTGTTCTCTGTTACGGCAAGGCTCTTGCTCTGCTGAGTCAGCCAGGGTTGCCTGATGACCAACAGTAATTCATTCCTTGGCAAGTGGAACTTCTCTAAAACACCCACCCTCATCAGATGTTCCCTTCCCTTCCCTCTCTCAAGCCCCCGGGAATTTATCCTCCAGTTAGGAATGCAGGCAGAAAAAACACTGCATTTTTCCTGAGAAGGATGTCAGATTGGCAATTATTCTTCTAGCTTGTAGGAGGTCTCACCTGCAGGAAATTAAAGGTAAAGAGACTTCGCTGAGCCCTTTGGTGGCCCTAGATCCCTTTCACTGTTGGAGTGTCTGGAGTTCAGAGATGGTGGAAGACAGGCCCTCATTCACAGAGCTGGGAGGTTTGAGCCAACACTTGCATCCAAGGCTTCCACCTCCCCAGGTTTCCAAAAGCAGAGATAAGAGGGGTCCTTTACTCACCAGATTTGGAGCTTGGTTCTGTGGGTGAAGGCCAACTACTTGAAGGGTTTCCTAGAACACGGGACAGGAGAGATGTGAGGAAATGAGGGTGCTTGTCCTCTACTCAATGGAAATCTTTGAGGTTGGTTCATGGCCAACACTCTGTTATCTAATGTTGGACCCTGGGAGTCTTGGGATCCTTTTCTCCATAATTTTTGTGTGCGATGCCCACTGTCTTGAGACTTGAAGGTATAAAGAGAAAACAGGAGCATCACACTACCTGACTTAGAAATATGTTACAGAGCTGTAGTAAGCAAAACAGCATGACATTGGCATAAAGAAAGGCACATAAAAAATGGAACAGAATGGAGAACACAGATATAATCCATGCATTTACATCCAATGGCTTTCTTTTGTGTGTGTGTGATAGAATCTTGCTCTGTCATGCAGGCTGGAGTGTAGAGGTGCAATCTCAGCTCAATGCAACCTCCACTTCCTGGATTCAAGAAATTCTCTTGCTTCAAACTCCTGAGTAGTGGTATTACAGGCACTGATCACCATGCTCAGCTAATTTTTGTATTTTTAGTAGAGACGAGGTTTCACTCTGTTGGCCAGCCTGGTCTTGAACTCCTGGCTTTAGGTGATCCACCCGCCTCGGCCTCCCAAAGTGCTGGAATTGCAGGTGTGAGCCACCATACCCAGCCCATTTAATGGACTTTGACAAAGGTGCCGAGAACTTACAATCAGGAAAGGACAGTCTTCAATAAATGGTGTGGGGAAAACTGGATATCTACATGCAGAGGAATAAAACTGCATCTATACCTGTCACCTTACACAAAAATCAAATGAAAATGGATTAAAAACATGAGTCTAAGGCCTGAACCTATGAAACATGTAGAAGAAAATAATGGGGAAGACATTTGTCTGACGAAAGACATTTTGTTTAAAACCTTCAAAACACAAGTAATCAAAGCAAAAAATAGACCATTAGGATTACATCAAACCAAGCAACTTCTGCACCACCAAAGATAAACCAACAAAGTGAAGAGACAACCCACAAAATAGGAGCAAATATTTGCAAACTATTCATCTGAGATGGGATTAATAACTGGAAATATAAGAAGCTCAAACAACTCAATAAAACAATTTAATTAAAAAACGAGCAAAAGACATGAGGAGACATTTCTCCACAAACAAAACATAGAAATGGCGATCACGTATATGAAAAAGTGCTCAGCATCACTCATCATCACAGAAATGTAAATTACAATCGCGATGAGTTTTCATCTCATCCCATTAAAATGCCTTTTAGGCCGGTGGCTCACGCCTGTAATTCCAGCACTTTGGGAGGCGGAGGTGGGCGGATCACCTGAGGTCGGGAGACCAGCCTGACCAACATGGAGAAACTCCCTCTCTACTAAACATACAAAAATTAGCTAGGCGTGGTGGCACATGCCTGTAATCCCAGCTACTTTGGAGGCTGAGGCAGGAGAATCAGTTGAACGCGGGAGGCAGAGGTTGCAGTGAGCCGAGATCACACCCTTGCACTCCAGCCTGGGCGACTATGAGTGAAACTCCATCTCAACATAAATAAATAAATAAATAAAGTAAAGTAAAATGGCTTTTATCTGCAAGACAGGCAAAACAAATGCTGGCAAGATGGTAGAGAAAGGAGAACCCTGGTACCCTGTTGGTAGGAATGTAAATTAGTACAACTATTATGGAGAAAAGTATGGAAAATCTTTAAAAAACTAAAAGGAGGCTGGGCATAGTGGCTTATGCCTGTAACTTCAGCACTTTGGGAAACCGAGGCAGGCACCTCACTTGAGGTCAGGAGTTTGAGAGCAGCCTGCCCAAAATTGGGATATCCCGTCTGTGCTAAAAAATACAAGAATTAGTCAGGCATGGTGGCGTGCACCTGTAATCACAGCTATTAGGGAGGCTGAGTCAGGACAATCGTTTGAACCTAGGAAGCAGAGGTTGCAATGAGCCAAGATCGCACCACTTTGACTCCAGCTTGGACTAAGGAGGGAAACTCTTTCTCAAAAAAGAAAAAAAAAAAAAGAGAACTTTCATAGTGTCCAGCAATTTCACTACTGGGTTTATATCCAAAGGAAAGGACATCAGTGTATCGAAGTGATATCTGCACTCATATGACTGTTCCAGCACTGTTCACAGTAGCCAAGATGTGGAGTCAACCTACCTGCCTATCAGTGGGTGAATGGATAGAGAACTGTAGTACACACACACGGTGGAGACTACTCATCCATAGAAACAATAACATCCTGTCATTTGCAGCCACATGGATGGAACTGGAGGTCATTACAAAGATTCCCATTTCTCACCACATGCAGGAGATAAAAGGTGGATCTCATGAAGGTAGAGAATAGAATGGTGGATACCAGAGGCCAGGAAGGGAAGGGTGGAAGGTAACAAAAAAAAGAATATAGATGTATTTATTTATTTAGAAACAGAGTCTCTCTCTGTCTCCCAGGCTGCAGTGCAGTGGCATGATCTCGGCTCAGTGCAACCTCTGCCTCCTGGCTTTAAGTGCTTCTCCTGCCTCAGCCTCCCAAGTAGCTAGGACTACAGGTGCATGCCGGCATGCTTGGCTAATTTTTCTTGTCTGTTTAGTAAAGATGAATTTCCCGCATGTTGGCCAGGCTGATCTCGAGTCCCTGATCTTAAATGATCCACCTTTCTTGGCCTCTCAAAGCGCCAAGATTACAACCGTGAACCACCACACCCAGCATATAAAGGTATTTATGACCACTAGATTTTACTTTTAAAAATGGTAAAGTTGGTAAATTATATAGTTACATTTAACCTCAATAAATATTTTTGAAAATGAAAAGAAAAGAGTGTAGGGGTTGCTGGTGATGACATCTCTCTGTGTGGGTGAGAGGCCAGGATGGGCTTCTGGGAAATGGGTAAGGTTGAGGGGCTGAGGGAACCTCTGATCTCCCCAAACTGAGCCCAGTCTCCCCTTCTCTGGGTCTGTCCTGACCGCTTTCTCCATCTGCCTGGGTGCCTGGAGCCCTGACCATGGGCCTCCATGCAGGCCATGCAAGAGGGTTTGGAGGTGCCCTGTCTGCCATCCTGCACCCTGACCCCCCCTCACACCCAGTCTTCGTGTTCTCTCTGCATCTGTCCATGCTTCTCCCCATCATCGGCAGGAAGCTCCTCAGCTATGGCTCTAGGATCATAAGACATGGGACAGACACGGGTTTTCCTCACCTGTGACAGAAACAAGCAGTGGGTCACTTGAGTTTGACCACACGCAGGGCAGGGCACGGAAAGAGCCGAAGCATCTGTAGGTCCCTCCGTGGGTGGCAGGGCCCAGAGGAAAGTCTGCCTGGAATGTTCTGTTGACCTTGGGCACTGCACGGAGCCTACGTTCATGGGCCTCCCCTTCCCTGGACAGATGGTAGATGTCATAGGAGCTCCAGGAGCTACAGGACAAGGTCACGTTCTCTCCTGCCTGAACCGTGGGGCCCGGCTGGGCTGAGAGAGAAGGTTTCTCATATAGACCTGGAAGGAGAAGAGGCAGTTTCCTCAGGGAGGTTCTTCCTTGTCACAGCTCCCCTCATACCTGAGCTGAGAACTCACTCCCCTGCTCTATGACCTAATGCTCTCTCTCTCTCTCACCCTCCACCCCAACTCTCTTCATGTCTATTTCCTCCTTCCGCCTTCTCTGTCTCTCTAGGTCTCTGACCTCACTTCCCCACCCCTGGGTATGCTTTCCCTTTTTGGATTGTTTTATTCTCTCTGACTCTCCTTGGATTGGTTGACTTGATCTTCCTTTTTCTATAATTCTGAGTCTCTCACTTTCTGTCTTGTTCATAACTTTCTGCATATTTCTATCTATTATCTATCTATCTATTTTGTGTCTATCTACAAATTATCTGTCATCTATATCTATGTATCATTTATCTATCAATTGTCTATCTGTCTATCCATCAATCATCTATGTATTATCTGTATCTATGTATCATCTCTCTCTCTCTCTATTACCTCTCTGTCTGCCTGTCAGTCTCTATGTATCATCTATGTATCTATATATTTATATATGTGTCTTCTATCTATCTTCATCATCATCATCATCATCATCTCTATGTATCATCTATCAATCATCATCTATGTATCTATAACCTATCCATTATCTATCATCTACCTATTTATCATCTATCTATATCTATCTATCCATCTATCATCTGTCTCTCTCCATCTCCTTGTCTTTCTCTGCCTCTCAGTCTCTCTAGTTCTATTTGGAATCTCTGCAATCCATCCCCACATCTTTATCTTTCTCTGTCTTTGTGCCCCTCCCTCAGGGTTCTGATTTTGGGGCTTTTCTCTCCTCCCTTCCAGCATTCTCTCCACTCCTCTGCCCTCTTTTCTTTCTTTTTGTGTGTCTGTGAGTCTCTCAATCCCCTTCCTCTGGCTCATTCTCTGTGTGTTTATGCCTTTGCTTTTTGAAGTCCCTGATTTATCTCTGTGTCTCTCAGTGATCCTATTATATGTAGGATTATTTGGAATATGAGCCTCAGAATCTAGTCTGGGGACACCAAGTACACACAGTATTTAGGGGTTGGTGTTCTGGGGCCATGATATCCTGGGATAATTATGGCTCCACTGCATGGAAGGCAGAGGTGTCAGAATAAACATGGCATCTGTAGATGCCACAAGGCCTGAGGCCACAGGGCCCAACTCAGGTCAGAAATATGGGTGTCCTTGGGTTCTCCTCGTAGAAGCACTTTGTGGAGACAAAACAGAAATGAAACTTCTAACCTGTGCCAGGTCTCTGAGCAAAGTCAGCATGGAAGGACACTTCTCTCTGGCACATGTCTGTCTGTCTGAGTGTCTCCTTTACCTCTTTCTCTCTTTTCTACTTCCCCGTATGGCCCCTGTGTCTGTCCTCTGTTATGACACCTGGTCTGTACTTATGTCTCCTGTTTCCCTGTCTCTGTTGGTACAGACCTCACCGAGTCAGTCTCTCTCCATAAGAATCCCACGCTTATCTTCCTCATGACCACCTGGGGGTTCCAAGTCCTGGATCATTCACTCTGTGTCCCAATGACAATGAGAAGAATGTCTGGACACTCTCACCTGTGATCACGATGTCCAGGGGGTCACTGGGAGCTGACAACTGATAGGGGGAGTGAGGAACAGAACCATAACATCTGTAGGTTCCTGCAAGGACAGGCATCAAGGGACCGATGGAGAAGTTGGCCTTGGAGACCCCATCATGGATCTGTCCAACGAGGCGTGAGGGGTCCTCAGAGATCCCCTCTCTGTGCAGAAAGAAGTGCTCAAACATGACATCTGACCAACATTGCAGGATGACTGTCTCTCCTGATTTCAGCAGGGGCCCTGGGTGGGCCAGGAGGGAAGGTTTTCTGTGGTTTCCTAGAAAGAGAAGTTGTGAGTTTAGAAGGCATCTCTCTTTATCATCCCATCCATGGCACCTGGAATGAGTGAGGGTTCCCCTCCCAGAGGTCTGTCTCTCTCCTCCCTCTCTGTGTCTCCGTGTCTTTTCTGTGCCCATATCCCCTGGTGCAGGTCCCTCCATTTGTCTTCCTCCCTCTTCTCTGTCCCTCTGTCTCCAGTAGCCCCTGACTCCCTTCCCACTGTGAAGAGAGCCTCATCTCTTGGGCTGTTGTATCTCTTTCCCACTAGTCTCTTTCCTGCTGTCTATGTGGGGGTGGAAGAGGACAGGCTGCATGTCCAGGCTCTCAGCAGCCTGAATCAATCTCTTTTGAACAAATTGGAGTCTCTGGCAGAGGTATCAACTCATCAGTAAGGCAGACATCAGTGTCCACACACCCTGTTCCTGATGGGGATTGGGAGCCTCTCCTGCCATGTCTGTGCCTTCTCCATGGCCCCAGCTTCCATAGGGTGGTCCCTGGTGCTGGTTCCAGGAGCATCAACCCCTTCCTATGTGGATGGAGCCTGGTGGTGGCATCAGCATCCCACCCTTGCTGATCCCACGGTAGCCAACCTTCTCCTTGTTTGGTTTCTTTAATTAATTGATTAATTAATTTATTTTTGAGACAGTCACTTTTTCACCCAGGCTGGAGTGCAGTGGTGTTGTCTTGGCTCACTGCAACCTCTGCCTCCCCGGTTCAAGTGATTATCTTGCCTCAGCCTCCCCAGTCGTTGGATTACTCGTGCCCACCACCACACCTGGCTATCCTTGTTTGGTTTCCTAGCTTGTCCTTGACCTGGGTTCCTGTGTCGGTTTCCTGTTGCTGCTGCAGAAAATTATCACAAACATGGCAGCAGGAGAGAACACACTGACCCCTTCCACTTCTGGGGACAGAAATTGGATCCAGTTCTCCCTGTGCTGAAATCAAGGCATCTGCAGGGCTGCGTTCCCTCTGGAGAATCAGCGAATCAGTTCTCTTGACTTCTCCAGCCCTTAGAGGCCACCTGCATTCTGTGACTAGTGGCCTTCCTCCACCTTCAAAGCCCACAGTGGCTGATAGCGTCTCCCTCCCACTACACTGCTCTAATCCCCACTCCCCTCTTCCTCCACCTCTCACGCGGACCCTTGTGATTACACTGAGCCCAGCAGGACAGTCCAGGCTGTCTCCCCATCTCAAGGTCAACTCATCAACAACCTGAGCTCCACCTTCCCCTTCAGTCCCCTGCCCTATAACATAAATAGTCACAGGCTCCAGGGTTTACAATGTAGCCATCATTGGCGACAGTGATTCTTCCCACCACAGCGCCCATTTCCCCTGTATTCAATCCCCCTTGACCCCAAATACAGTTGGGGCCTGGGTGATGGGACCCTGATGGACACCCCCACCAGAAGCTCTGGGATTCAGGAGGTGGGACAGTGAGAAGCCCAGACAGAAAGCCTCTGACCTGTGACCATGATCACCAGGGGGTTGCTGGGTGCCGACCACCCAGTGAGGGAGTGTGGGCGTGAACCCCGACATCTGTAGGTCCCTGCATGTGCTGGGGTCACAGGGCCCATGATGAAGCTCTCCTGGAATATTCTGCCGTGGAAGATGGGAACGTGGCTTCTGTCTTCTTTGTACAGCATGAAATTGTTAAACCCACGACGATAGTGACACTGAAGAGCCACGTGTCCTCCTCGAGGCACCACAGTGCTGGGCCGGGCAGACAGGAAGGGTTTGTCCTGACCACCTGGGGGAGAAGGAGGCACTGCCTTAGAGAGGAGGATGTGGAGCCGCCCCTCCCTCCCTGTGCTCAGAAGATTCTCCCATTTCCACTTTCTAAGGCTCCTACCACACCTGGGTGCCCAGGGCTACAGGAAGGACCCACCCCACATAGACATGGCGTCTCCCTACAACAAGTGTCAGCTGAGAACTTTGAGCAAGTGCTGAATAAGTGACTCTTACTAGATTTTAATACTGCAAAATTACTCACATAAAACAACACAAAGTAGACACGGCATGGAGGGCATGTCCTATGTGAATGGAATATCAGCCAATTCATGAACTGAGCCCCCTCAGAGGATTTGGAATGTCAGGGCCATGGCTGTGGTTTCCCCCCTCTTCTGGTAGAAAGACCGCAGCCACACTGCAGTCCCTACCGTCACGGAAACGCTGGAGGGTGTCAGTTATACCTTTGTCCTCAGAGGACCTGCTGTTCCTAGCACTGCATCCCTCTCTTTCTCTGCTGCTGACACCACTTCCTCCCTGCACACCCCAGCTTGGAGCACCCCAGTCTCACCCCAGTCTTCACAGAGCTTGACTCAGGAAAGGGAAAGAAAGGCCGGGGAGGGCGAGGTCAGAAATGTGGGCCGAGTATCCAAGGGTCCCCTCTTCCTAGTTTATGAGAGACTCCCCGACAGGACTTCCCTCCTGTTTCAGAAAAATCCTCTTATGTGGGGAGATGACACCCTAAGGTTTGGGGAAGGACTCACCCATGAGTGGCCAGGCCCCCTGCAGCAAGAAGAACCCTGGAAAGAAAGATCATGATAGACGATCCAACTGCAGGCAAACCAGGGCACCCTGCTGCCCCCACTGCACTGTGTGTCTTGGCAGCCAGGCCCTTGCTGGGCTGAAGGTAAACTTAGCCTCCCTGCTACCTGCTGCCAAGAACAGGGCTCTCAGCTGTGGAGAGACCCAGGCTCCAGGCCCAGATCAACACTTCCTGGCCCAGATCTCCACTCCAGGCCCATATCTCCACTCCAGGCCCCTATCTCCACTCCAGGCCCATATCTCCACATCAGACCCATATCTCCACTCCAGGCCCATATCTCCACATCAGACCCATATCTCCACTCCAGGCCCAGATCTCCCCTCTAGGCCCATATCTCCACTCCAGGCCCATATCTCCACTCCAGGCCCATATCTCCACATCAGACCCATATCTCCACTCCAGGCCCATATCTCCACTCCAGGCCCAGATCTCCACCTGCAGGCCCATATCTCCACCCCAGGCCCATATCTCCACTCCAGGCCCGTATCTCCACTCCAGGCCCATATCTCCACACCCAGGCCCATATCTCCCCTCCAGGCCCATATCTCCACTCCAGGCCCATATTTACACCTCCAGGCCCATATCTCCACACCCAGGCCCATATCTCCACTCCAGGCCCATATCTCCACTCCAGGCCCATATCTTTACCTCTAGGCCGAGATCTCCATCCCCACTCTCCCTCCCTCTATTCCCTTCCAGGACTCACCAACGCACGCCATGCTGACGACAGTGAGCGACATGGTGCTGCCGGTGCAGACAGGAGGCCGCGCCCCAGCTCAGCTCAGCAGCGCACAGGATGTTATTTGGCGCCCTGCCCATGCAGTTTACATGTTGACCACATCATGGGAGGGTGACGTACGCAGGCTCTTTCTACCTTGCATGAGGCCCAGTGGGTGCTCGCTCAAGAGCGGAACATGGCTTCCTGGAAATTGTTGTGACTACAATTGCCACCTTGCATCCTTCACTATGACCAGACTCAAAAGACGTCTCAGATCCAACCTCTCACACATGAGGTGATTGAATTCTGTGCTTACATTAAAGACTTTTGATGTATTTTTGTTTTTATCTGAGATTCAAACTTTTCTTCATGTGTAATGTGCAAAATATCTAAGAGGTATTATTAACATTATCAGAGTAATTGTGACAAAAAGCCATTCTAATTTTCCTGATGAGTTTCTAGTACTAAACCTGAGGCACGAGAATTGCTTGAACCTGGGAGGCGGAGGCTGCAGTGAGCTGAGCTCAAGCCACTGAACTCCAGCTTGGGTGACCGAGGAAGAGTCTGTCTCAAGAAAGAAAAAAAAAAGCAAACTAAATAACCTATAATAACAAATCAGAGAACTCAGGTTACCAAATTTTAAGGGGTTCTATAAGTTTATATGAAATGCAGCATCCTCATGAGAGGGGATACAGAGAACCACTGGGCAGAAAACTGTGTCTAAAATACATCTGTGGATACACAGTCCCTTTATAGTTGACAAAGGCTGCCATGTAGTTTAAGGTGGAATAGAATATTTTCTCAATAAATAACACAGGACCATAGGGTTACACGTAGGAAAAAATAAATCTAAACTTATCCTCACACTATAAAAACACTTCTTATTTTTTATCTTGTTGTTGTAAACTTTTTATGCTTTATTTTTAAGATTGACAAATAAAAATTATATACTGTGGTCCTTCACTATTCCTGGGTGATTGGTTCCAGGATCCCCATTCAGATACCAAAATCTGCAGATGCTCAAGCCCCTTGCATGAAATGGCATAGCGAAGCTGGGCACCGTGGCTCACGCCTGTAATCCCAGCACTTTGGGAGGCTGAGTTGGGTAGATCACGAGGTCAGGAGTTCAAGACCAGCTGGTCCAACATTCTGAAACCCCATCTCTACTAAAAATACACACACAAAAAAATTTATCTGTGCATGGTGGCACGTGCCTGTAATCCTAGGGGAGGCTACTGGGGAGGCTGAGGGAAGACAATCGCTTGAACCTGGGAGGCGGAGGTTGCAGTGAGCTGAGATCATGCCACTGCACTCCAGCCTGGGTGAGAGAGTGAGACTGTCTCAAAAAAAAAAAATAGCATAGTAATTGCATAGAACCCATGCACATCCTCCTGTATACATGAAATCATCTCTTGATTACTTATAATTCCTGACACAGCCTACACGCCACTCAATTTGTGTCGATTCAACATAGTTTTTTGCTTCTTGAAACTTCGGGGATTTTTTTCTGAAAATATTTTTGATTTATTGTTGGTTCAATAAACACCTGTAAACCCCACAGATATGGAGGACCGACTGTATATTTATATTATGAAAGATGATATGTTGATATGTGTCCCCGTGGAGATGAGGCTAACAAGGCCTATGACTCTACAAATGTTTCATCGTGGAATGACTCTGCCAGCTTTCCAGGTCTGCAGAGAGTAAGAATATCACTTGTTCATGTGATTCACGATCCTTGGAGCCTCCTATGTGCTGTATCTTTGGATGGAAATTGGAGTCTCAGAGACAAATCAGGCTCCATTCTGCTTCCAGAAGCTCAGAGTCCAGGGCTGAGAACCCAATGGAGAACAGATGGGGTTATGTGGACACGGTAATGATAACACCGGAAGCCTTAGGCAAGAAAAGAGTCTCGTTACCGAAACCATGAGGGCAGACATGTTTATTTGAAGGCGGGAAAACTACATTGAAATTATTTAAAAAATTTATAAGTTTTACTGCTGGCAGAAGGCTGAAAGATAGTCTGAAGGGAGGTGGAACAGCACGTGTCTAAGTGCTGTGTTAAGAGGCAGCCTCTTGTATGTTTGGAATTGTGAGTTCCTCAGTGTGATTGCAGCCTCAGGTAGACTAGGAAGTAAGCCAGTTAGGTTGGAGAGGTGGGCAGGGGTCAAGTGAAATGGAGAATTGTGGGCTAAGCAAAGGAGTGTGTTTTCTCTCCAGCAGGCAGTGGGGACCTTAGACATTTGTAAGCAAGAGAGAGGCATGTTCAGATTCGTGGTGTGAGGAAGAGCGATGCCCTAAGATGAAGACTGATGCCTTCAGATTCCAGCTGCTGGTACATGGGAGCTGGCAACCCGGTTTTGAGACAGGGCTGTTGTCTCCCTAGAAGATCCCCTCAAGGCCTGACTGTGGTGCTCGTGGACAGAAGACAACTTTGGATCTGGGCTCAGCATTTGGAAGTTCTATGTACATGCTGGTATCTGTTGGGGGTGTCTTGGGCCTCTCAGAAGGGCGAGTGATTTTTCTCTGTGTGAAAACACAGTGATCCAATTATGCGTATGACACCTCCTGATGGTCTTGTTCATCAGAATCCTGGAGAGAGGGAAATGCTGAGTGAGGGAGGGTGCTCACATTTTTCAGGACTCTTTGGGAATAAGACTAGCCACGAGGCTGGGCCGAGGAGCACCTACCTCGCTGTTCACTGTTCTGTTCCCTGCAGGCTCTTGGTCCATTACAGCAGCATCTGTAGAAGACGGAAGTCAACAAAAGAGCTCGGAGGGCACTTCTGGGTCCTCATTTCATAAGCAGATACCAACAAACAGGGGGAGGCCATAGGTGCCTGAGGTCCCTCAGTTGCCAACAGCAGACTCAGACATTCTATCTCTCTGAGTTCAAGGACCCATCCCATGAATAGCTCTGAGGTCCCATCCCATTGATTCTATCTCCCACTTTCTGCCTGTCATGGAACCTTCTCCTGGATGTGAGTGGCTGCAGGGGACGTGAGGATACAGTTCAGAATCAGGCAATGGTCTGTGAGCTGAAGGCAGGGGAAGGGAATCTGGTGCTCTCTCTAGAAAGTCCTGCCTCTGTGGCTCCTGTCTTGGGCCAGGGACCATCCTGCTGGTGAGGAACACACATCCGCGTGCTCCCATCCTGCTTCCCCACATGGCCCTGAGCTCTCTGGCCTCTGCTTCGTGAGACTTACTTTTTTTGTCGGAGCACCAGCGATGAAGGAGAAAGAAGAGGAGGATGGTGAAAGGGATTTTGACCACTGAGGTCCCAATCAGAACATGTAGGTGTCTGGGGTTACCTGGAAGAAGAGGAGACACCAATAAGAAGCTAATCATAGCAGTTCCTCTTTATGAATTGTCTCGCATTTCTTGATTGGCAGGTAACCACATACAACGTCTCTTTAGGACAAGCACCCAAATGGCGGGAGACCTAGCTTTCCCCTGCTTTCTCAATTATAGCTCTCATAGTAACCATAGAACGTGCTGAGGATACAACTACTTTAGTTGAGATGTTTGACCCTTTCAAACCTCACATTGAAATTTCACCCCCATTGTGGGAGGTTGGGCCTCTTCAGAGGTGTTTGGGTCATGGAGGTGGATCCATCATGAACAGACCAATGCTGTCCCAAGGAGACGGGGTTAGCAAGTTCCCCCTCTGTTAGTTCCTGGAGAGCTGGTTGTTAAAAAGAGCTTGGAAGCTCCATCGCTCCCTCTCCCCCTTACTCTCTCTCTTGCCGTGTGATCTCTGCGGTCTCTGCACAGACAGACCCTCCTTCCCTTCTGCCAGAGTGGGAGCAGCCTGAGGCCATCACGAGAAATAGATTCTGGTGCCATGCTTCCAGTACAGCCTGCAGAACTGTGAGGCAAACCAATCTCTTTTCTTTAGAAGTTACCCAGGCTCAAGTGTTCCTTTAGAGCAACAAAAATGGACTAAGATAGCAACATCCTGAGATCAGGAGGAATGTCTCAGAACAGCCTGGGCTGTCTTCCTGTTCTTCCTGGAGGAGGACGTCATGCAGTGCTTTAGCTGAGTGCTTCCTGTGGCTCCAGGGTACAAAACCCAGGCTGGGCTGCTTTCTGGCTTCCCCCAGTTACACTGCAAATGGGGTGACTCCATATGTCCCGAGCAGCTTTTCTGAGCCTTGAGGGACTGGCTCACATTGAAATGCAGGCTTCTGTTGTCACTCACTGCTTATCTGTTAGTAATGAACCTGCCTATGTAACGTATTCTCTGTGTGTTCTGTCTCCCTGGAGTGACGGTGAGTGATAGGAATTGGCATAGGCCCAGGTGCAGTCCAGGATTTGTTTAGAGTCTTCTCTGGGAAGACTGCACTGGGATTGATACACAGCGAATGTGCTTTAGGATTTCTACATCCACAGCATTCTTGAGTCAAACAAATTGCATTCACCAAGGAAAGGAAACAAAGGTGAAATCACGATTAAAAATAGCGAAGCAAGATTCTCTTATGTCAAACAGCCAGAAAATAGTGTTGAAGCCCGTGTGAAATGTGCTGCTCTTTGTGATCTCGGGAGACACATGTTAGGCTGCTGTTCTACCCGAGAGGCTGGGGGAAGGACCACCCCCTCCACCATCTATTGCTTCAATACCACCTGTCCTCCTGTGAATTAGTAGGAAAGGGGAACAGGAGCTAGTGCTGTCGCTGATCTCTGATTCCAAGATCTGGACTCACTCCAAGGAGTATTAATGTTTCCTCCCCATGGTCTATCTGAATCTCCACAGGTGATTGGAAGTAGGGGTGAGGTGGGGGATTTGGGTGAGTGGGCAAGTTTTTTTTTGCGATGACCAGAGCACTTTCTCTATTCCAGGATCCGTGCTGGAGGATTCAGCGGGCTTTCACATTTTCTATGTGATCTCATGCTCACAGAAAGCCAAATAGGGAAGAGGTTTTAGGCTCATTGCCTAATGGATAAGATAAAGGATCAAAGAAGTAATTATAGAGAAATAGAAAAATGATGATTGGAATTCAGGTGCCTTTGTCATTCGTGTGTGTTTTATTATATTTATGCATTTCTTATTTTTATTTTTTGAGACGGAGTCTCCTTGTGTCACCCAGGCTGGAGTGCAGTGATGCAATCTCCACTCACTGCAACCTCCACCTCCTGGGTTGAAGTCATTCTCCTGCTTCATCCTCCAGAGTAGGAGCTGGGATTACAGGGATGCACCACCATGCTCGGCTAATTTTTGTATTTTTAGTAGAGACAGGGTTTCACCATGTTGGCCAGGCTGGTCTGGAACTCCTGACTTCATGGAATCCACCCGCCTTGGCCTCCTGCAGTGCTGGGTTACAGGCGTGAGCCACCGTTCACAGACTTGTATATTATGCTATAATAGGTCCCTTCATTTCCACCACCCCTCATATATCTGTCACTCCTTTGCCAGGTATTGATTTATGTGTAGGATGAATAAATCTCAGAAAGAAATTAATTAAGCGAGGATTAAACAAGTAGGAAAATCAAACCCAGCAAGCCTTTCCAGCCAATGATTCTACCTCACAAACATAGCTTATATCCATCTGCTTCATCCACTTAGTGTCAAAATCAGCACCACATTTCACCAGTGGGGTGGCAATTGCCTTTTCCACAGTCTCCTAGATTCCAGTTACGCACCTGGGCCTCCCTTATTTTCATGTCAGTCACTATTAATCATGTAGGGATTCCTGGTTACCTCGAGGTGAATCCAACGGCTGTGAGTGTCAAACACACACTCCTTGTTGCTCCTTAGTTTCCTGTGTACCCAGTGTGCTCTCCGTCTCTCTACAGTTGTCTTGTCATTCTCCCCATCTCATTCCCAGCATTTCAGGCAGAGCCTCTTCCTTCCACATCAGATTGTTTTCAGCTTTCTGCCTTCACGGCTGACAGCTGTGTGTGGAAAATCCTTCCGCCAATCTTTCAGGGGTTCAATCCGTGTTTTTCATTAATGTCACAAATATCTGATTAGTGAGACCTTCTCTGTCACCCAAAATTATACACTCAGCATTATCTATTATTGATTTTGAATTCTGGCTGGGCACAGTGGCTCACGTCTTTTATCCCAGTACTTTGGGATGCTGAGATGGTTGGATCACTTGAGGTTGGGAGTTTCAGACAAGCTTGGCCAACATGGTGAAACATCCTCTCTACAAAAAATATACAAAAAGAATTAGCCGGGCATGGTGGCAGTTGCCTGTAATCCCAGCTACTCGAGAGGGTGAGGCAGGAGAATCACTTGGATCCAGGAGACGCAGGTTGCAGTGAGCCAAGATCGTGACACTGCACTGTAGCCTGGAAGACAGAGGGAGACTCTGTCTCAATAAACAAACGAACAAACAAACAAATAGATTTCATGCACAGATGCTTCCCAATGGATCATTCATTTATTGGTCCACTTGTGCATTCATTTTCTGTCCTCCCATTTAACCATCTGCAATATCAGTGTCCCAAGAGCAGAGGCCAAATGCATCTTGTTCACCATTTGTGGAAGGCAGGAGAATGCTGTCCCACCCCAAAATGTCCCTGTCCTAGCCTCCATAGCTTGTGAATATGTTATTTTACATGGAAAGGAGGAATGAAGATTGCAGATGGAATTATGGTTGCTAATCAGCTGAACTTAAAACAAGGGTATCCTGAATGATTTCCGGGAGATTATGACGGATTTTCATCTTGGTGAACCCAATAGAATCCCCAAGTTTTCAAAAGATGAGGAAGAAGGGAGAGCAGCATTCAGAGAAAGAGGTGTGGTAAGGAAGAAGGGTCTGAGTGATGCCATGTGAGATGTGACCAGTCTTTGTGGGTTTTGAGGAAGGAGGAAGGGGACCAGCAGCCAAGGAACTGGGAGCCTTTATAAGATGGGACAAGTGAGAAGCAGATTCTTGCCTGGAATCCTCAGAGGGAAGGCAGGCTTGCTGTCATCTTGATTTTAGCCCAGTGAGATGCACTTCATGCTTTGAGCTAGAGCACTGTAAGATAATTAAATAACCGTTTTGTTTTCACCCACGAATCTTGTGGAAATTTGTTATGGCAACAATAGGAAAAGCTTCCACACTGCACAACCTGAGCATGGGGCCGTGGCTGAATAAGTCAGTGAGTCAAAGTGTGCGTGCATGAGCTCTGTTCTCTGTTACGGCAAGGCTCTTGCTCTGCTGAGTCAGCCAGGGTTGTTTCATGACCAACAGGAGCTCATTCCTTGGCAAGTGGAACTTCTCTAAAACACCTCGCCCTCATCAGATGTTCGCTTCCCTTCCCTCTCTCAAGCCCCCAGGAATTTATCCTCCAGTTAGGAATGCAAGCAGAACAAACATTGCATTTTTCCTGAGAAGGATGTCAGATTGGCAATCATTCTTCTAGCTTGTAGGAGGTCTCAGCTCCATAAAATGAGAGATGAAGAGATTTCACTGAGCCCTGTGTTGGGCCCAGATCCCTTTCGCTGTTGGAGTATCTGGAGTTCGGAGATGGTAGAAGACAGGCGTACAATGTCAGAGCTGTGAGATGCTGAGTCAACGCCTGAATCCAAGGTTTCCACCTCCCCAGGGTTCCAAAAGCGGATATAAGAGGGTCCTGTACTCACCGGTTTTGGAGCTTGGTTCAGTGGGTGAAGGCCAACTATTTGAAGGGTTTCCTAGAACATGAGACAGGAGAGAGGTGAGGAAATGAGGGTGTCTGTCCTCTACTCAGTGGAAATCTTTGAGTTTGGTTCATGGCCAACACTCTGTTATCTAACATTGGGCCCTGGGAGTCCAGGGATCCTTTCTTCCATAATTTTTGTATGTGACGCCCACTGTCTTGAGACTTCAAGGTATAAAGAGAAAACAGGAGCATCACACTACCTGATCTCAAAATATGTTACAGAGCTGTAGTAAGCAAAACAGCATGATGTTGGCATGAAGAAAGGCACATAGAACAACGGAGCAGAATGAAGAACACAGATATAATCCATGCATTTACATCCAATTTTTTTTATTTTTTCTTTTGAGATGGAGTCTCGCTCTGTCACCCAGGCTGGAGTGCAGAGGTGCAATCTCGGTTCACTGCAACCTCAGCCTCCTGGGTTCAATCAATTCTCTTGCCTCAAACTCCTGAGTAGTAGTATTACAGGTGCTGACCACCATGCTCAGCTAATTTTTATATTTTTAGTGGAGACGATGTTTCATCACGTCGGCCAGAGTAATCTTGTACTCCTGTCCTCAGGTGATCCACCAGCCTTGGCCTCCCAAAGTGCTGAAGTTGCTGGTGTTAGCCACCATGCCCAGCCCATCCAATGGACTTTGACAAAGGTGCCAAGAACTCACAATCAGGAAAGGACAGTTTTTTCAATAAACAGTGCAGGGAAACCTGGACATCTACATGCAGAGGAATGAAACTGCACCTCTACCTGTCACCATACACAAAAATCAAATGAAAGTGGATTAAAGATGTGAGTCTAAGGCCTGAACCTGTGAAACACGTAGAAGAAAATATTGGGGAAATGCTCCAGGACATTTGTCTGAAGGAAGACATTTTGTTTTAAACCTTCAAAACACAAGTAATCGAAGCAAAAATAGACCATTGGGATTACCTCAAACTAAGCAACTTCTGCACCGCTAAAAATAAACCAACAAAGTGAAGAGACAACCCACAGATTGGGAGCAAATATGTGCAAACTATGCATCTGAGACGGGATTAATAACTAGAAGTATAAGAAGCTCAAACAACTCAATAAAACAAATGATTTAATTGAAAAAGGAGCAAAAGACATGAAATTTCCCCACATACGAAAAAGTGCTCAGTATCACTCATCATCAGAGAAACGCGAATTAAAATCAAAGTGAGTTTTCATCTCACCCCATTAAAATGGCTTTTAGGCCGGGCGAGGTGGCTCACGTCTGTCATCCTAGAACTCTGAGAGCCCGAGGTGGGCGAATCTCATAAGGTCGGGAGTTTGAGACCAGTCTGACCCACATGGAGAAACGCTGTCTCTACTAAAAATACAAAAATTAGTCGGGCGTGGTGGCGTGTGCCTGTAATTCCAGCTACTCGGGAGGCTGAGGCAGGAGAATCGCTTGAACCTGGGAGGTGGAGGTTGCGGTGAGCCGAGATCGCACCACTGCACTCCAGCCTGGGTGAGAAGAGCGAAACTCCATCTCAAAATAAAATGAAATAAAATAAAATGGCTTTTAGCTGCAAGACAGGCAAAAGAAATGCTGGCAAGGTGGTAGAGAAAGGAGAACCCTGGTACCCTGTTGGTAGGAGTGTAAATTAGTACAGCCATTACGGAGAAAAGTATGGAAGTCCTTTAAAGAACTAAAAAGAGGTTGGATGAAGTGGATCATGCCTGTAATCCCGGCACTTTGGGAGACCGAGGCGGGCACCTCAGTTGAGGTCATGAGTTTGAGAGCAGCCTAGCCAACCTGGGGAAACCCCATGTACACTAAAAAAAACCAAAAAGTATCCCGGCATGGTGGCGTGCACCTGTAATCCCAGCTACTAGGGAGGCTGAGGCAGGAAAATCATTTGAACCCAGGAAGCGGAGGTTGCAATGAGCCAAGATCACATCACTTGTACTCCAGCCTGGGCACAGAGGGAAACTGTCTCAAAAACAAAAACAAAACAACAAACGAAAAACTAAAAAGAGAACTTTCATAGTATCCAGCAATTTCACTACTGGGTTTATATCCAAAGGAAAGTAAATCAATGTATCGAAGTGATATCTGCACTCGTATGATTGGTGCAGCACTCTTCACAGTAGCCAAGATGTGGAGTCAACCTACCTGCCCATCAGTGGATGAATGGATAGAGAGAATGTAGTACATACGCACAGCGGAGACTACTCATCCATAGAAAGAATAACATCCTGATATTTGCAGCCACATGGATGGAACTGGAAGTCATTACAAAGATTCCCATTTCTCACCCATATACAGGAGCTAAAAGGTGGATCTCATGAAGATAGAGAGTAGAATGGTGGCTACCAGAGGCCAGGAAGAAAAGGGTGGAGGATAAAACAAACAAACAAAAAATTTATATGTATGTATTTATGACCACTAGACCTTACACTTAAAATTGGTAAACGTGGCCGGGCGCGGTGGCTCATGCCTGTAATCCCAGCACTTTGGGAGCCTGAGGCGGGTGGATCACGTGGTCAGGAGTTCCAGAGCAGCTCGACCAACATGGTGAAACCCCCTCTCTACTAAAAATACAAAAAGTAGCCTGGCGTGGTGATGGGCGCCTGTAGTACCAGCTACTCAGGTGGCTGAGGCAGGAGAATCGCTTGAACCCAGGAGGCGGAGGTTACAGTGAGCTGAGATTGTGCCACTGCATTCCAGCATAGGAGACAGAGCTAGACTCCACCTCAAAAAAAAAAAATGTTAAAAGTGGTAAGCTATATAGGTATATTTAACCTCAATGAATATTTTTTCAAACAAAAAGAAAAGGATGTAGGGGTTGCTGGTGATGACATCTCTGTGTGGGTGAGAGGCCAGGAAGGGCTTCTGGGAAATGGGTAAGGTTGAGGGGCTGAGGGAACCTCTGATCTCCCCAAACTGAGCCCAGTCTCCCCTGCTCTGGGTCTCTCCTGACCGCTTTCTACATCTGCCTGGGTGCCTGGAGCCCTAATCGGAGGCCTCCATGCAGGCCATGCAGGAGGGTTTGGAGGTGCTGTGTGTGCCATCCTGCGCCCTGATCCCTCCCTCACAGGCATGCTGCGTCTTCTCTCTGCATCTGTCCATGCTTCTCTCCATCATCAGCAGGAAGCTCCTCAGCTAAGGCTCTAGGATCATAGGACATGGGACAGATATGGGGTTTCCTCACCTGTGACGGAAACAAGCAGTGGATCACTCGAGTTTGACCACTCGTAGGGAGCGTCACGGAAAGAGCCGAAGCATCTGTAGGTCCCTCCGTGGGTGGCAGGGCCCAGAGGAAAGTCGGCCTGGAATGTTCCGTTGATGCTGCGCACTGCAGGGAGCCTACGTTCATGGGCCTCCCCTTCCCTGGATAGATGGAGCTGCAGGACAAGGTCACATTCTCTCCTGCCTGAACCGTGGGGCCCGGCTGGGCTGAGAGAGAAGGTTTCTCATATAGACCTGGAAGGAGAAGGGGCAGTTTCCTCAGGGGGGATCTTCCTTGTCACAGCTCCCCTCACACCTGACCTGAGAACTCACTCCCCTGCTCTATGGCCTAATGCTCTCTTTCTCTGTCTCACCCTCCACCCCATCTCTCTTCATGTCTATTTCCTCCTTCCACCTTCTCTGTCTCTGTAGGTCTCTGACCTCACTTCCCTACCTCTAGTTATGTTTTCCGTTTTTGGATTGTTTTATTCTCTCTGGCTCTCCTTGGATTGGTTGACTTGATGTTACTTTTTTTAACTCTGAGTTTCTCAGTTTGTGTCCCGTTCATAACTTTCTGCATATTTCTATCTATTATCTATCAATCCATCTATTTATCTATTCGGTGCCTATCTACAAATTCTCTACCTGTCATCTATATCTATATATCATCTATTTATCTATCAATTGTCTATCCGTCAATCATCTATTATCTATATATATGTATCATCTCTCTCTCTCTATTATTTCTCTCTTTGTCTTCCTCTCTATCTCTATGTATTATCTATCCATCTACCTTCATCATCATCATCTCTATGTATCATCTATTAATGAATCAATCAATCATCATCTATGTATCTATAACCTATTATCTATCATCTACCTATATATCATCTATCTATATCTATCCATCATCTATCTGTATCTATCCATCTATCATCTGTCTTGCTCTGCCTCTCGGTCTCTCTAGTTCTCTTTGGAATCTCTGCAATTCATCCCCACATCTCCATCTTTCTATGCCCTTGTGCCTCGCCCTCAGGACTCTAATTTTAGTGGTTTTCTCTGCTCTCTTCCATCATTCTCTCCACTTCTCTGCCCTCTTCTCTCTCTTTATGTGTCTGTGAGTCTCTCAATCTCCTTCCTCTGGCTCTTTCTCTGTGTGTTTATGTCTTTGCTTTTTGGTGTCCCTGATTTCTCTCTGTGCTTCTCAGTGATCCTCTCATATGTGATATGTGGGGTTATTTGGAATGTGAGCCTCAGAATCCAGTCTGGAGACCACAAGTTCACACAGCATACAGGGGTTGGTGTTCTGGGGCCATGATATTTTGGGACGATTATTCTCCATTGCATGGAAGTCAGAGGTGTCAGAATAAGCATGGCATCTGTAGGTGCCACAAGGCCTGAGGCCACAGGGCCCAACTCAGGTCAGAAATATGGGTGTCCTTGGGTTCTCCTGGTAGAGAACACTTTGTGGAGGTAAAACAGAAATGAAACTTCTAACCTGTGCCAGGTCTCTGAGCAAAGTCAGCATGGAAGGACACCTCTGTCTGGGACATGTCTGTCTGTCTCCTTTAACTCTTTCTGTCTTTTCTAACTCCCTGTATGGCCCCTGTGTTTGTCCTCTGTTATGACACCTGGTCTGTACTTGTGTCTCTTGTTTCTCTGTCTCTGTTGGCACAGACCTCACCAAGTCAGTCTCTCTCCATAAGAATACCAAGCTCATCTTCCTTACAACCACCTGGGTCTCCAAGTCCTGGATCATTCACTCTGCATCCCAATGACAATGAGAAGAATGTCTGGACACTCTCACCTATGATCACCATGTCCAGAGGGTCACTGGGAGCTGACAACTGATAGGGGGAGTGAGTAACAGAACCGTAGCATCTGTAGGTTCCTGCAAGGACAGGCATCATGGGACCAATGGAGAAGTTGGCCTTGGAAACCCCATCATGGTGCTCTCCAATGAGGTGCAAAGT